>NC_000006.12:102192002-102343517 GCF_000001405.40 Homo sapiens
GTATACTTTAGCCCTTCTGAGAGTTAGAGGCCCAAGTCTTCTAAACCCGTCTTTGTTAGACATTGCTTCTTTATTCATTGTCCATCTTCCAACAATGTAATTCAATTCTGTGTTCAATAATAGTCACATCCTGTTCTCGTTTTGGTTGTTGTCTTAACTTTTGTTCCATCTATCTGCTTTTAATGGAGTCTTGGGCATAAGAGGAGATGGGCATGTACTCATTCAGTGTAACAAATTGAACTAGTTTTATTTTTCTTTTAAATTACATTTTAAATATACTGTACATGTAATCCCAGCACTTTGGGAGGCCAAGGCCGGTGGATCACCTGAGGTCAGGAGCTCAAGACCAGCCTGACCACCATGGTGAAACCCCATCTCTATTAAAAATACAAAAATTAGCCAGACGTGGTGGTGCATGCCTGTAATCCCAGCTACTAAGGAGGCTGAAGCAGGAGAATTGCTAGAACCCAGGAGGCAGAGGATGCAGTGAGCTGAGATCGTACCATTGCACTCAAGCCTGGGCGACAGGGTGACACTTCATCTTAAAAAAAAAAAAAAAAAAAAAAAAGCCAGGCGCAGTGGCTCACGCCTGTTATCCCAGCACTTTGGGAGTGCAAGACGGGCGGATCACGAGGTCAGGAGATCAAGACCACGGTGAAACCCCGTCTCTACTAAAAATACAAAAAATTAGCCGGGTGCGGTGGTGGGCGCCTGTAGTCCCAGCTACTCAGGAGGCTGAGGCAGGAGAATGGCATGAACACGGGAGGTGGAGCTTGCAGTGAGCAGAGATGGCGCCACTGCATTCCAGCCTGGGCGACAGAGCTAGACTCCGTCTCAAAAAAAAAAAAAAAAAAGGGAAGGTAAATATACTGTAGAGTTCATCAATTTTTTGTTTGTTTGTTTTTGTTTTTTTGAGTTAGATTCTTGCTCTGTCACCCCAGGCTTGAGTGCAGTGGCACAATTTCTGCTCGTTGCAACCTCTGCCTCCCGAGTTCAAGCAATTCTCCTGCCTCAGCCTCCTGAGTAGCTGGGATTACAGGCCCCCACCACCACACCCGGTTAATTTTTACATTTTTAGTAGAGACGGTGTTTCTCCATGTTGGCCAGTCTAGTCTCAAACTCCTGACCTCAAGTGATCCACCCACCTTGGCCTCCCAAAGTGCTGGGACTACAGACATGAGCCACCACATCCAGCCAGTTCATCAAATATTTATTGAGCAATACTAGCTTGCTTTATGCTTGATAATATAAGAATAAAGATTATTTTAAATATGAGATAATATAAGTTTAAACATGTTAGATACCATGAGTTCAGAATTTTTGAAAAGTTTTTATTGTAGTACATTGAAAGAAACACGAATAAACAGGAATATACCATTCAATATAGTAATAATGTCAAATATCATTTTGAGCACCTAAAACATATTGAATGTTGAAAAGTAAATTACATTTGCAGTCTCTTATATCTCATATTTATGATAGCTACCCACACATTTCCCACAAATTACACAGGCAGACTTAGGCATATTTTTTTATAATCAATTTCAAGAGACTCATTGAGCCTATGAAGCCAATCTGTAAACCAGATAGAATCAACAATTCTCCGGTTAAAAGTCCTTAATATAAATAATTCACCCATTCATTTGTTTACTCAAAAGTAATTATTGAGCACTTACTACAAGCCAGGCATTATTCCAAGTATTATGGAGTGTAGGTGTGGATACACCAGTCAATGAAACAGACAAAATTTTTTTGTCTTTTCGAAGTTAATAGTCTAGGGTATAGTATACAGTATGATATAACAGATAATGATGGGTGTTATGGAGGAAAATAAAGTCAGAAATGAGTTTGATGCATGATTGGGGAACTTCATTTTAAATAGAATATTTGGATTAGACAAAATTAAGTAAATGACATATGAGGAAAGATATAAATGAGGTAGGGGAGCTAGATTTGTTGCAACTGGAACAGAGTGTACCCAGTGATGGAACAGCAATGGCATGACCCTGAGAAAAGAATATGACTTGTATGTTTGATAAACAGCAAGGAAGGCAGTATAGCCCACTGTTAGGAGTGAGAGAAGGAGAGGGTGAGGTATGTGATGTCGGGAATCTAATAAGGACACATGTGTTTATCCAGTAGGGCCTTGTACTTTAGCTTTAATGAATGGGGAAGGAATTGGTCAGATTGGATAGATTAGTGACATAATTAAATTTTCCTGAGAAAGTGAAACTTAAACAAATGCATGCATGATAAACATTAGCTAGGGAAAAGAGAGAGGAAAAGCATCCAGGTGGAAGGCAGAACATAAATGAAGACATGGAAGCATTCCCTTTAAGGTATGGATTATCCCTTGAAAATGCTGATTTCACTTCATTTCTGTTCAGTGAGTCACCTGAGCAGATACCTAGGTTTTTTGGTATATTTTTTCTTATGATTATACAGGTTAGCAATCCAGAATAAATTTCCTAGTGAAGGCACTAAGGCAATTAATTAAAGGCAACTAATTAAATAGAGGATAATTTTTTAAAAGAACCAACTGGAGAGCCAAAAATGTAGTTGTTACTACTTGGATCAATATAAATCAGTTACATTTTTTTTTCAGTGAAATTGCTGCAAGCACAAAAATATGACTAATTTCAAATTTGTAACAGCCAAAGCAGCATGTGGGTTTCTAATGACCAAATTATAAACAGCTTATGGGATATCCACATATAGGCCAATACCCAGAGCTAACTCCATGTTTTGTCTTGTTTTTAATTTTTAGAACCATTAATTGAAGCCTTAGTAAATTTAAGGCAACACACACGCATACACACACTCACACACACACACAAACACAACTTAATAAGGGAGTTTTAAATAAATCATCTAAGGCCCCAAAAATTATTGTTGAATGGATAAACAAAAACATCTTTTTTTGTAGAATGAAAAATACTACATGATTTCAGTCAGATATGGAACCTGAAGAAAAAAACAAAAGTAGTATCATAGAAGCAGAGAGTAAAGCAGTTTTTACCAGGGATTAGGGAAAATTGAGGGGAGAGAAGGGTGGAGAGAGGTTGGTCAGTGAATGTAAAGTTACTATTAGTTAGGAGAAGTAAGTTCTGGTGTTCTATTACACAGTAGGAGGAATGATACAGTTTGGATATTTGTCCCCGCCCAAATCTCATGATCACTTGCAATCCCCAGTGCCTGAGGTGGGGTCAGATGGGAGGTGTTTGGATCATGGTTAGTAGATTCCTCGTGGCTTGATGCTGTCTTCGTGATTGTGAGTTCTTGTGAGATCTGGTCATTTAAGTGTGTGGCACCTCCCCTGCACTCTCTCTCTCCTACTCCTGCTTTTGCCACGTGATGTGCTGCCTCCCACTTTGCCTTCCACCATGTTTGTAAGGTGCCAGAGGCCTCCCTAGAAGCTTTCTTTATTCTTTGTTTACATTCTTTCTTCCTTTTTTTTCTGACTATATTTTTTCAAATACTCTGTATTCATTTTCACAGATTCTTGTTATGTTTGATCAATTCTGCTATTGATACTTTCTATTGAATTTTTTATTTTGTTCATAGTATTTTTCAGTTTCAGGATTTCTGCTTGATTTTTAAAATTATTTCAATCTCTCTGGCCACTTATTGTTTTCCTCATTTCACTGAATCATTTCTATGCATTTTTTGAAGTTTAATGACCTTCCTTAAAAACAATTATTTCAAAATCCTTTGTCAGATTGTTCATATGACTCCCTTTTTTTTAGCATCAGTCACTGGCACTTTGTAATGTGCATTTGATGATTTCGTGTTTTCTGAATTATTCTTGATCCTTGTGACTATGCATTTATACCTGCACATTTGAAGAAGTGCATCATAATTCCTGACTTCCCAGACTGGCTTTGAGAACTTTTTCAGTAGTAATCCCTTTCTTAAATTCTGGGGAGCCCACCTGGCATGGTCCCTAATCCTGGGACTGCTGTGGTCATTGCCGCACAGGGAGAAACCCTAAGCACTGGGGTATCAGTGGAGTGCAAGGATGGAATCTTGTCTCAGGTAGATTGGTGAAGTGCTGGGTCAAGCCCGAAGCACATTGCCATTGAGGCCTGTATGTTACTGAGCATTGTCTGGAGCCCAAGACTACTGTAGTCAGCTGGCCCTGATGTAAACTGGAGATTGAATTTGCCTCACAGGGACTATAGGTTCCTGCTGGTGTCAAAATAGGGATGGAGGCTCATTCCAGGGTATTGGTGTGGGGGTCTGCCCAGTGCTGGCTTTTACTCTGATAGACTGGTGTTAGGGGTTCAAGACAAACTCCTATCCTTATTTCCTCTTTGCCCCTTAAGTTGGCTGGTAATTCTCTCCATCCTGCACTGCCTGGGTTTAGGGGAGGGGTGACATGGGTAACATAAAATTGTTACCTTTATTGTGTCTTTTCTTATTATTGTGCTAAACCAGGTACTGTAATCTGTCACTTGGTTTCCTTAGCTGTTGTGAAGTTTATATGTATGTGTGTTCATGAATATTAGTTTAAATTGATGTTTCTGTGGAGAGACAATTGCTGAAGAATACTAACTGCCATCTTGCCCCACTTTTTTCTGGGTCTATTTTATTTAACTGATAAGCTTCTCTTCTCTCTTTCTATTGTGTAGTCCTTCCATGGATTTCTCCTTATTTTAATAAAATTCATTTTTATCAAAACTAAAAATGTGTAGATGGTCAATGAAATACATTTGGTACATAAATGCAATTAAATGGGAAAGTATTGAGATAACATATTTTGTATACAGAGATGTAATTACTGTTAATATTCATACTTGATATTATTATATCAATTTTTATTTTCCATTTTTCTATATATGTAATTCTTGTAACATTTAAATTTAGAAAGATGTAACAGATCTTTCTAAATAAGATCTGTTGGGGGAACCAGCCCCCAATATTTCAACGTAGGTTCTTTTCTATTTTCTCTAAGTGTCGGCCAGTCTGAGAAACAAAGAGAAAGAGTACAAAGAGAGAAATTTTACAGCTGGGCCTTGGAGGGAGACATCACATGTCGGCAGTTTCCGTGATGCCCACCTGAGCTGCAAAGCCAGCAAGTTTTTATTAGGGATTTCAAAAGGGGAGGAGTGTATGAATAGGGAGTGGGTCACAAAAATCACATGCTTCATAGGGCAATAAAAATCATAAGGCAAATGGCAGAACAAGATCACAAGGCCAGGGCGAAATTAGAATTACTGATGAAGTTCCATGTCCTGCTGGGCATGCCTTGTTATTGACAAACATCTTAACAGGAAAGAAACCAGGTTGGAGAGCAGACAACCAGTCTGACTAGAATTTTTCAGGCTGGAATTTCCTAATCCTAGCAAGCCTGAGGGCACTGCAGGAGACCAGGGTCTCCTTATCTTCATCCCTTATCCTCAACCACATAAGACAGACACTCCCAGAGCGGCCATTTTAGAGACCTCCCCTGGGAACGCATTCCTTTCCCAGGGTTATTCCTTGCTGGGAAAAGAATTCAGCAGTATTTCTCCTATTCGCTTTCTGCAAGAAGAGAAATATGACTCTGTTCTGCTTGGCCCTGAAGGCAGTCAGACCTTATGGTTATCTCCCTTGTTCCCTGAAAATTGCTGTTTTCCTATTCTTTTTTTTAGGATGCCCAGATTTCATATTGTTCACACACACATGTTTTACAAACAATTTGTACAGATAACACAATCATCACAGGGTCCTGAGGCAACATACATCCTCAGCTTACGAAGATGATGGGATTAAGAGATTAAAGTAAAGACAGGCATAGGAAATTATGAGTATTGATTGGGGAAGTGATAAATGTCCATGAAATCTTCACAGTTTATGTTCAGAGATTGCAGTAAAGAGAGGCTTAAGAAATTACAAAAGTATTAATTTGGGGAACTAATAAATGTCCATGAAATCTTCACAATTTATCTTCTTCTGCTGTGGCTTCAGCTGATCCATCTGTTCCGGGTCCCTGACTTCCCACAACAAAGATTGAAACATAATAAAATTCCTATTTTTAATTAACAGAATATCAGCAAAGTTTTAACATTTTATGAAATATTTTTCTGAAAATGCTCTTATTATTCAAGGAATTTGCCATAATTTATTGAAGTAATCCCTACTATTAACATATAGTTTTCTTTTTATTCCTATTATAAATAATTATATTGCTAAAATTCTTATACATATATTTTTGTGTGCAAAGTGATTATTTGCATAGGATATTTTTCAAAGAAAGGTCTTACTAGTCCAGATAGTTTAAATTTTTGGAGTTGGTTGATAAATATTGCCAAATACTCTCCAAAAGGATTACCAATTTACATTTATATATGTAAATAGGCAATTTGGAATTATTTATTTGATCTCTTAATTCCAAACTTTGTTAATCACCACCATCTTTATCTGAGCCCTAGATAAAATAAACTTTATTTTAATATTAAAATAATACTTTGATTCCTCATTTAATTACAAAGTCCCACTAGCCCAAGTTCAGGGTTGTGCAGTTCTGGCTTTTAGCACAGCCATGTCCAGGGACTCTTTCTCCATTTCTCTGCTCTGTACATCTCTGCATGAGTCAGTCTTTACAAAACTTCTTTCTGGAGAGCAGGAGCAGCGGTTGCAGCAAGCTTCATTGTCAAGCCCTCTTAGTTTAGCTAGCCCCGTGGAGAAGAAGCTGTCTTCCTGATGAGTTAAGCCAAACTGAACAAATTTTCAATGCCAATTGGCCGTTTATATGTTTCTTTGGGTATCCAACTTTTTATATCTTTTACCTTTTTTTCTATTCTTGTCACTTTTTAATAGTTTAAAATAAATATTACCATATTAAAACAATAACCCTTGTATATATGTGCACATGTTTCACTTATTGTGGTTTTCCTTTTATTTCCTTTTTACATGGTTCCTTAAGACATAGATATTCTTTATATTGTGTGTATAACAGGAAGAAATCTAATATATTTGTGTTGCCAAGTGGCTGTGTTAATATATTTAAGCCATACTTTGCAAATCTATTGATGTTTCATAGACGTGTGTCTTTGTGTATGCCTGCACACATAGACCTATGCAAGTTTACACAGACACAATAAGTTTCATATTTTGAGGTGCAAAAAAGAATCAATTGGAATTGCATTAAATTTGTAGCTTCATTTTTAGAGAGTTAGAAACTCTACGATATTTAATCTTCCTATGCACAAACATGAAATGTTTCTGATGTTTATTTAAAAATTCTTTTATTACCCCTAATAGGTTGTTATTTTCATTTTATAGGTTTTACTATTTTATTTTAAATGTAGTCATAGGAATTTTAATGTTATTGTGTATGATTAAATTATCCAATGAAAATTGTTTTTAAATTATTTATAGTTTTTATGTTGGAAACGATAGCTACTAGCTGTTTTATATCTATTTTAAAACTATCCATATCATTCAACTTTTATGTTGGTCACTTCGTTTTACAGTTGATATTCTTGGGTTTTCATAAGAGATACTCCAAATATGCATAGAATATTTATTCTATTTCCTTCTTTTCAACAGTTACATTTATTGGATATTTTACTTCTTCTGTTGTATTAGCTAGAATTCCCAAATCTATTTTAAATAATAGGAGTAATATAAACATTTTGTCTTATTTCTGACTTAAAAAATTATTTGTCAGCTAATTTACCAAAATATTTCTATTAGTAATGAATAATTAATTTTCTTGAATTCATTTTTATGTCCCTGAAGATCTTTTTTATTTCTTTTTATACCTTTTGACTAATGCAAGTTTTGCATTCCATTTATAGGTTTATACTGGTAGGTATTGTATGATTATCAAAAACTATAGCTGATATACTCTGGTTTTATTTTTTATTTGATTGGCATTTATTTAATATAATTGTATTAATATGCACAAGTAACATTGCTTGAAACCAGTGTTTTCTAACAATTTTTAGCTTTTGAACACTTTGTTCAAATTAAATCCTATTAGAAAATTTGAATATAAGAGGACTAACTTATAAATGTTATAAATAAAAGGGTTGGGAGAAGGGAGTACTTCTTCCATTTTCTCTTTCTATTCTTTCTCTGTATATGTTCTGAAAAAACATTTATCCTTCTTGTGTATATTTACTAAACTTAATTTGAATTTTTAATTGTTCTAACCGTTGCCTTGATTGCTTAACGTTGTTATATTCTTTGTAATTCGAGAAGGAAACTACAGTAAGTCTTCACTTAATGTCGTCAATAGGTTCTTGGGAACTGTGACTTTAAGCAAAGCTATATATAACAAAACAAATTGTTTTTCTCATCAATGTCACAATGAAACAACACTAAAAACGAAATGTTGTTTTTAAAGGACCTACTGGAAGATGTTTTGCTTAAAGTTGCAGTTTTCAAGACCCTATTGATATCATTAAGTGAGGACTTACTGTACTTTAAACTGAGCATTTTTATTTAAATATAGTTTGGGATTCATTCTAAACATTTTTGACATACCATTATTTTTTAAACATGTACAATCACAATTTTGTGGTTTGCTTTTTCAGAAATATTTAAGTTTAAATATTTTCAGGTGGTTGGGTTCTTCATGTTGGTATCTTTAATAATAATTTAAATATAAATACACTCTAATTTTTAAAACTTCATTTTCTAGTACTTAAAATTATTTGAATAACTCAGATTCTGTGATTTCTTATTTATTTGTATATCTAGAGGGAAGAAGTAGTGAGGTACAGTCTTCTACAACCATATAATTATGTTAATTTCTTCTTCTAAGTTGATGTGTTAGAAGTTTGCTTTTGTTCTATCAATCTTTGTTCAACTTGTGAACTGAAAGTTTATGGTATTATATCTGCATTGTAGGTTATACTATCTATAAAAATCAAATGACTGTACCTTTTAATGATTTTTGCCTTTAATTTTATTTTTCTTACATTATTTGAGTGACCTAGTTTTCTTTTGTTGTATTTGCATAATCTATTTGCCTCACATTTATCATCACATAATTTATATGTCTGTGTTTTCATATAGCTACACATGCTTTGCTTTGATTGAGGTTCTTAGCTATATATACTATTTTTAGGTCTACTAGTAATAATATTTACTAAACACATCATTCATCTGATTTATATTTTATTAATTATGTTAATCAAGAATGTGTGTTTTGAGTTCCTAATGTATCAATCCAAATATAAAGTATGCCATTTCCTTTTTCTACTGACTCATATTCTTTTTTATTGCTTTTCATTAATATAATATGGGCTTTAGACCTTTATTATTACTGTTCTCATTTTTTTATTTTGGGATTTTTTTGTTGTTGTTTGCAATTGTTACATATTCAGTTTTCAACATATTTAAAAACTTCTTACATTTAGTGTCACTGGTTTAAAAATATCTCTCTGTCTTTCTAATAAGGCATGACTCCCCAATTTTGTCTCATTTTCCACAGATTTGTATCAACTAGATCATAATTGGTATGGTTTGGCTGAGTTCCCAACCAAATCTCATCTTGAATTGTAGCTCCCATAATTCTCATGTGTTGTCGGAGGGACCCAGAGATAGATAATTAAATCATGGGGGAAGTTTTCTCCATACTGCTGTCATGGTAGTAAATAAGTCTTACGAGATCTGATGGTTTTAAAAGGGATTTCCATTTTTGCTTGGGTGTGAGACATAAAGTCAAAAGAGAACATTTTCAAGCTTTAAGATTTGACTGCACTGCTAGATTTTGGACTTGCAGAGGGACTTTAGCCCCTTTGTTTTGGCCAATTCCTCTCTTTTGGAATGAGTGTACTTATCTAATGTCTGTACCTTTCTTGTATTTAGGAAGTAACTAACTTGCTTTTGTTTTCACAAGTTCTTGAGTAGAAGGAACTTGACTTGTCTCAGACAAGACTTTGGACTGTGGACTTTTGTGTTAATGCTGAAATGAGTTAAGACTTTGATAGCCAGTGATGATGAGCATCTTTTCATGTGTCTTTTGGCTGCATAAATGTCTTCTTTTGAGAAGTGTCTGTTCATGTTCTTCACCCACTTGTTGATAGGGTTGTTTGTTTTTTTCTTGTAAATTTGTTTGAGTTCTTTGTAGATTCTGGATATTAGCCCTTTGTCAGATGAGTAGATTGCAAACATTTTCTCCCATTCTGTAGGTTGCCTGTTCACTCTGATGGTAGTTTCTTTTGCTGTGCAGAAGCTCTTTAGTTTAATTAGATCCGATTTGTCAATTTTGGCTTTTGTTGCCATTGCTTTTGGTGTTTTAGACATGAAGTCCTTGCCCATTGCCTATGTCCTGAATGGTATTTTAGCCTAGGTTTTCTTCTAAGGTTTTTATGGTTTTAGGTCTAACATTTAAATCTTTAATCCTTCTTGAATTAATTTTAGTGTAAGGTGTAAGGAAGGGATCCAGTTTCAGCTTTCTACATATGGCTAGCCAGTTTTCCCAGCACCGTCTATTAAACAGGGAATCCTTTCCCCATTTCTTGTTTTTGTCAGGTTTGTCAACGATCAGATAGTTGTAGATATGTGGCATTATTTCTGAGGGCTCACACCAGTTAGAATGGCGATCACTAAAAAGTCAGGAAACAACAGGTGCTGGAGAGGATGTGGAGAAATAGGAATACTTTTACACTGTTGGTGGGACTGTAAACTAGTTCAATCATTGTGGAAGTCAGTGTGGCAATTCCTCAGGGATCTAGAACTAGAAATACCATTTGACCCAGCAATCCCATTACCAGGTATATACCCAAAGGATTATAAATCATGCTGCTATAAAGACACATGCACACGTATGTTTATTGAGGCACTATTCACAATAGCAAAGACTTGGAACCAACCCAAATGTCCAACAATGATAGAATGGATTAAGAAAATGTGGCACATATACACCATGGAATACTATGCAGCCATAAGAGATGATGAGTTCATGTCTTTTGTAGGGACTTGGATGAAGCTGGAAACCATCATTCTCAGCAAACTTTTGCAAGGACAAAAAACCAAACACTGCATGTTCTCACTCATAGGTGAGAACTGAACAAGGACACCGGAAGGGGAATATCACACACGAGGGCCTGTTGTGGGGTGAGGGGAGGGGGGAGGGATAGCATTATGAGATATACCTAATGTTAAATGATGAGCTACTGGGTGCAGCACACTAACATGGCACGTGTATACATATGTAACAAACCTGCACATTGTGCACATGTACCCTAAAACTTAAAGTATAATAATAAAAAAAAGAAGACTTTGGGGGACTGTTGGGAAGGCATGATTGGTTTTGAAATGTGAGGACATGAGATTTGAGAGGGGACAGGTTTGGAATGATATGGTTTGTCAATGTCCCCACCCAAATCTCATCGTGAATTGTAGCTCCCATAAACCTCTTGTGTTTTGGGAGGGACCTGGTGGGAGATAAATGAATCATGGGGGTTGTTTCCCCCATACTGTTTTGGTGTAGTAAATAAGTTTCACAAGATCTAATGGTTTTATAAGGAAAAACCCCTTTTGCTTGGCTCTCTCATTCTCTCTTGCCTGCTGCCATGTATGATGCCACCATGCCTTCTGCCATGACTGTGAGGCCTCCCCAGCTACACGGAACTGTGAATCCATTAAACCTCTTTTTCTTTATAAATTACCCAGTTTCGAGTAATTATTAGCAGTGTGAAGATGAACTAATACAATAATCATAGGTAAATACATAATCACAGAGTTAAGGTGGATTACATCCTTTTTGTACTTTTGTTAGAAACAAAAATATGCATAAATATCTGTATCACTTGGTTTTAATTTCACATAAATCACTTTAAACTTGGGGACTTAAAGGTACGTAAGCTGATGATTTTCCTAGGGATTATTCAGGTGCAGGTGATCTAGGCTAGTATCTTTCATCTGGCTAATTGTTGAAGGCTTTACTCACATGTCTTGCAGTTGGTTGGCTGTGGGTTGTGGCATAGACATGACTAGGACCACTTGTTCCTCATATCCAGCTAGTTAGTCCATACCTCTTATAGAGCATCAGCATTCCATGAGCAGCAAGAGAGGATAATCTGCAAGACACAATCGTTTTTTAAATACTTACCTCTCATTCACTGATGTCCCATTGGAAAGCAAATCACAGGACAGGGCACAGAGTCAGATTGAGAGTGCCCTTAAAGTTCCATAACAAGGGTGATGGTTACAAAGATAGGAATAATTGCTGGCATTTTGTAATTATTCTTCACAAAATCTTTCTGTCTATGATAACTTCTTTTATGTTACAGAACATTTTACAGCCCAAAACACATTTATCCCTTTTCCTTATTTTGTTCTTTCCTTCTTTAAGGTATTTTGTGACTGTTCATTTACATTTGAATTTCTATATACACCCCATCTTGTATATATTATAATTAGTGTTGGTGTATGTTGTTAAATTTCCTTACTGTTTACCTACCTGCTATTTTAGGGCTCTCCTCAGATCATATGCTGGAAGCCTTGTTGATCTAAATTTACATTTCCTGTATAGCAATTTAGCAAAGTGACTCAAACAGCAAGGGAACCATAGCTCTGGGCAATTCTAACAGAGGAATTTCATTTCTGCATAGTTTACTTTCTGTGTTGATGAGGTGGTTGCCCTGGGAGCAAGGACGCTGCATTTAGCTTTATGATTGACCTCGCTTTCTTGCCAGCTATCCTTGTATCTGTTTCATAGCTAAACTCAATTGCCTTTCTGGAGCATCAGGGAAAACCCCAACCACTTTGTCAGGCATTGGATAATCCGTTTTCCTCTCTATTCAGATGCTTTTGAATCTGTGTAGTGATAATAATTTCAATTATCATATTCTCTGTCAGGTCTGTGGTCTACTCATGTTTTGAGGCGTGGATAAATTAGGAAAAGTTAGTGTGATCCTGCCAAGATATCCCATGCTTCCCTGGATGCCACATTGCTTCCATAGAAAATGCAGTTACAAGATGACCTTATGTTTCTATCTCCATGCCAATCCTATCTGCACCATGGCAGAAAATATTAGAACACCTGCTTGAATTAGGTTCTCTTGTTTTATATTTGATCTCTACATGCTCTCAGCCATACCCATGAGTTTATCACCTGTAGTCAAAATAATTATAAATGATTATATTAATTAAATACACTTTCTATTAATGAAGACCTGGCAACTTGGCATTTCTTTCTATGTGTGTTAAAACCATCACTATATGTTTATACCTAGAATGATATATGTTGTAGATCCTCTATTGGATTGGTACAAAAGTGATTGCAGTTTTTGACATTAAAAGTAACGGCAAAAATGGCAATTATTTTTGCACCAACCTAATATCTGTACATTTTTTTTCATTTTCATGCTTATATAACAGTAGATGGGACAAGGTACCAGATTTCTTCCTTTGAATATCAGTTCTATTTCACAAATCAGAAGCCTAGAAGTTGAGTACATTCTAAACCCTGGCCTCTCTTCCTTAATGCTTCAAGGCATAGGTAAGCCATGGCAATATTCTATTGATCAGTATGTTCTAAATATTTTTAAACCCTGGCTGATTTCTTCATGTTCATCACCACAATCCAAATATATATTCTGTCTCTGCTATACTATATCAACAGTTTCTTAACTGCTTTACTTGAATTTCATTTATTTTAAATCCTACATTTAAAAATTATTTTAGTTAGATTTGGTAAAAACTGTTAGTAAATTTTGCTTAAGTGACTTTAATTTTTAACAAATATGTGGTATGCTTTGCTAAATACTGTAGGTTGCTGGTCATAACACCTTTAATTTGATTCTGGTTCTAACCCATGGTCCACATTTTCCTTTAATTTTTGGCATGGACATCACGAAAACTTAATACTATTTTTTGATCTCCCTGCTTTTGTCTTTGCTCCTGTTCAATTCATTCCCAACACTTCAGCTACGGGCTTCTTGTTAAATGTAATCCAGTTCATGTTAATCCTCTATTCAAAACTCTCTACTGATTGCAAATTATTCTGAGTAAAACATCAAATTCTCCACCACCAAATACAGGGATGTGCATGGTTGGCTCCTGTCTGAACGCATCTCCTGTTGCTTCTGTCTTGTATCGTCTGCTCCAGCCACACTGTCTTCTTTGCTGTTTCTTGAACACATCAGGCATGCTCCTGCTTCAAAGGCTTTTCACCCACTCTTCCCTCTGCCTGGAACATTGAACCCCAAGACATGGTCTCTCCCTCATTGTCTGTCTTCAGGCTTTAGTCAGCTACCTTTACTCAGTGCTCAAAATTTTTGGCCATTTTAATTTACCTATGGACTTCATAAGAATATTAGATTGATTTCTTTTGTTTACTGTTAGATCTTTTGTTAAGGTTACTAAATTAAGAAGTGTGATAGTTATCTAAAATACATCAATTTTTTAAATTATAAATATCAAATGTTTTTCTGTAATTCTGAAATATTAGAAGATTTTCTATGAATACCTTTTAAAATGGCAATACCTTTTATTTTATTAAAGTTTTTAGCCTGTAAAATGTCACACAGATATGTGTTTCTCTGTAAAACCCAACCAAATTTTCTTAGAGTCAACCTTTACCTTCCTTAAGCTCCATTTAATAGAATCTCATCATTTTAACTTCATGCCCTCTTGCACAGATTACTATGTTTCTTAACCAGAAATAAAAACTCTAAAACTTTCTTCAATCGTTCACTTCATTGTAGTCAAATACAAGATCAAAATGCATTTTATTTGAAAAGGATATAACACATTCTTAATACATATTAAATTTATAAGCTTAAAAATTGCTTTGTACAGATATAGAGGTTAGGAAATGAAAACTTAAAGTTTTGCTCTGATATAAACAATTATATAATTAGTATTAATTAGATTCTATACTGAAGCAAATATATATTTTCCAATATCATAAAAAAGCCATTTGCAATTTTATATTCACATATTTTTATGAAAGACCATATGTAATAGATATATAAATTATTTTTAACATGTGAAAATTTATACTAGTCTATTATTATCAAAATTCCAGCAAATCTGAAAGTTCTATGAAATATATAAAGCTTAAGTGACAGTTTTTACTTAGCTAATTTTACTTTATCATCAATCTTTGATACAGATATTAAAACTGGTTTGTTCTGAATAATGAACACTAATGCCAAGAAAAGTAAAGACATGTACAATGCCAGAAACTAAAGTAAATGAAAAGAGATTTTTATCCTAGAATATAATAGCTTGTATTTTTTATTTTTGATCTTTAAAACAAAATCTCAAAAATAATTTATGGTTTTATTTCTTGGCTTTGGGCAAGACTGCATACAGAAATGACCTTCTGTTTTGCTCTGTATTCACTGTAGATTTTCTAGAATATCCGCTGTTTACTTTGATATGTTTTTCTTCAGATTTTTTTTTTTAGGGAGTGGGAAGTAAACCAGGATTTTTCAATATCTTTCTTATAATCATCTTTTATTTTCTTTGATTTTTTTTCTCTTTACAAAAGAAAACAAAAGAGAAAAATTGTTTTTACTTTCTTTCTATATATATCATTTCTAAGTTGGCATTTTATTTTTAAGGTAGGAATATATAATGTTACATCCAGTTCAATTTAAGCTCTTTGGCACCTTGGTTCTGATGCAAGAAATTAAGTGTGGTGAATATAAAAGCTAGAACATGGAAAAATTTCCAAGTGAAGAAAATGACATAAGTAAAGGCAAAACTGTGAGAAATTTTGGACAGATTTGGGCATCCTTAACTGAGCTGCCTTGTATGAATCGAAGAGGAAAAGCATAAGCATAGACTTGCATGTTAGGATCATGTGAAAAGCCCTGAATGTCACGTTAAACTTTATAGCAAACAACAAAATAAAATGTTTTCAAGAAGCAGGGATGGGAAAAAAGTATGCGTAGGTTATGTAAAATATTCTAAAGAGTGTGAATGTGGCATTGCAAAAGTGAGTGGGTGCTTTCTCAGTGTATGAAGGGAAAAGCAGCATAGCAATGCATGGACAAAGACTCAGCTTTCTCTTACACACACACACACACACATATTAACACACTGTAAGTTTTTCAATATACCCATGTTCAAATATAGATAGAAGAATGTGTTATCATGGCTGGTTAATTTAGCTAAAGGAGAAATTGATTGGAGTTCAACTGTTACTGCAATAATGTTCATAGCAAACGGCATCAAAATCTCATTGGCTGGCAACAAACAAAATTAGTATTTTCTCACTCACATGTTGGCCAGAAGCAGGGATGACATTTAGATACAGATGTACCTCAAATGTCTCCTTTATCTCTTTGACTAACACCTTCCTAGTACATGCATTCTCACAGCAAATGGCAGAACCATTATAGGTGCAAATGAGAACAGGCAATAGCTATTAAGTGTTCAGCTTGGTACTAATCATTTTCTTTCTTCTACACACCTTCCATTGGCCCAAACAAATCATATGGATACCTGATATTGTTTGACTTTGTCCCCCCCCCAAATCTCATCTTGAATTGTAACTGCCACAATTCCCACGTGGTGTGGGAGGAACCCAGAGGGAGGTGATTGAAGTATAGGGGCGGGTCTTTCCTGCACTGTTCTCTTGATAGTGAATGAGTCTGATGAGATCTGATAGTTTTACAAATGGGAGTTTCCCTGCACAAGATCTCTTTTTGCCTGCTGCCATCCATGGAAGACATGACTTGATCCTTCTTGCCTTCCACCATGATTGTGAGGTCTCCCAGGCAATGTGGAACTGTACTTCCATTAAATATCCTTCTCTTCCCAGTCTCATGTATGTCTTGGTCAGCAGCATGGAAAGGGACTAATACAGTACATTGGTACCAGTAGAGTGGGGCACTGCTGAAAAGATATCCGAAAATGTGGAAGCGACTTGAACTGGGTAACAGGCAGAGGTTGAAACAGTTTGGAGGGCTCAGAAGAAAACAGGAAAATGTGTGAAATTTTGGAACTCCCTAGAGACTTGTTGAATGGCTTTGACAAGAATGCTGATTGTGATATGAACAATAAGGTTCAGGCTGAGGTGGTCTCAGATGGAGATGAGGAACTTGTTGGAAATCGGAGTAAAGGTGGCTCTTGTTATGTTTTAATGAAGAGATTGGCAGCATTTTGCCCTGCCCTCGAGATTTGTGGAACTTTGAACTTCAGAGAGGTGACTTAGAGTATCTGATGGAAGAAAGTTCTAAGCAGCAAAGCGTTCAAGAGGTGACTTGGGTGCTGTTAAAGGCATTCAGTTTGAAAAGGGAAACAGAGCATAAAAGTTCAGAAAATTTGCAGCCTGATAATGAGATAGAAAAGGAAATCCCACTTTCTGAGGAGAAATCCAAGCCTGCACAGAAATTTGCATAAGTAACAGGGAGCCAAATGTTAATCCTAAATACAATGAGGAAAATATCTCCAGGGCATGTCAGGGGTCTTCACAGCAGCCCCTCACGTCACAGAACCAGAGGCCTAGGAGGAAAAAGTGGTTTCACTGGCCAGGCCCAGGGCCCCTGTGCTGTGTGCAGTCTAGGACTTGGTGCTCTGTGCTCAAGCTGATCCAGACTTGACTAAAAGGGGCCAAGGTAAAGCTTAGGCCATGACTTCAGAGGATGCAAGCTGCAAGCCTTGGAAGCTTCCATGTGGTGTTGAGCCTGTGAGTGCACAGAAGTCAAGAATTAGTGTTTGGAAACCTCTGTCTAGATTTCAGAGGATGTATGGAAATGCCTAGATGTCCAGGCAGAAGTTTGCTGGGGTGGCAGGCACTCATGGAGAGCCTCTGTTAGGGCAGTGCAGAAGGGAAATGTGGGGTCAGAGTCCCCACACAGAGTCCCTACTGGGGCACTTCCTAGTGAAGCTGTCAGAAGAGGGCCACTTTCCTCTAGATCCCAGAATGGTAGATCCATTGACAACTTGTACCGTGCACCTGCAAAAGCAAAGACACTCAATGGCAGCCCATAAAAGCAGCCAAGAAGGAAGCTGTACCCTGCACAGCCACAGGGGTTGTGCTGCTCAAGACCATGGGAACCCACTTCTTTCATCAGCATGACCTGGATGTGAGATATAGAGTCAAAGGAGATCATTTTGGAGCTTTAAGATTTGACTGCCCCACTGGATTTTGAACTTGCATGGGGCCTTTAGCCCCTTTGTTTTAGCCAATTTCTCCCATTTGGAATAGCTGTATTTATCCAATGCCTGTAACCCTATTATATCCAGGAAATAACTAACCTGCTTTTGATTTTACAGGCTCATAGGCTGAAGGGACTTGCCTTGTCTCAGATGAGACATTGGACTGTGAACTTTTGAGTTAATGCTGAAATGAGTTAAGACTTTGGGGGACTGTTGCAAAGGCATGATTGGTTTTGAAATGTGAGGACATGAGATTTGGGAGGGGGCAGGAGTGGAATGATACGGTTTGGTTGCATCCCCACACAAATCTCATCTTGAATTGTAACTCCCACAATTCCCAGGTTTTGTGGGAGGATCCCAGTGGGAGGTGATTGCATTATGGGGGCAGGTCTTTCCTGCACTGTTCTCATAATAGTGAATGAGTCTCATGAGATCTGGTGGTTTTATAAACACGAGTTTCTCTGCACAAGCTCTCTTTTTGCCTGCCACCATCCATGTAAGACATGACCTGCTCCTCCTTGCCTTCCACCATGATTGTGAGGCATCCCCAGCCATGTGAAACTGTAAGTTCATTGAACCTCTTTTTCTTCCCAGTCTGTGGTATGTCTTTATCGGCATTGTGAAAAGGGATTAATACAATAACCAACTGCAATGGGTGAAAATTATATTATAGGCCCAGTTAACTGTGATAGTTAATGTTGAGAAAGGGTGGAAGAACTGTAACAAAATTAAATAATCTTTCACAGTCTGTTAGAGGCCCATTTTGTTAATGGTGAAGCATATTCTACATATCAAGTTTACAAGTCAACACTGTTTACAAGCCAGAACCTAAGTAAAATTATTAGGGCCCTTCTCCTACCAATATTTGATCCTAAATTTCTGTCTTTCTAGTTTCTGCCACAGAAATTCATTTATACACTTGCAAAAAAATTTAAAAACCTTCGTATGTGATTTGACTAATATATATTTCCTTTTATTCTGTTATAAAAGACTGAAGCTTAAGAAACAAATATTTAGCTCTTAAATTTAAGGAGTTATTATTTTATTTATTAATGAGGGCAACTGAAAATTTATTATATTGGTTGTAATCTATTCCACATGCTTGCATGCCAACCCTGATGTAATACGTTGTGTCAGTGGTTTCCAAATGGTGGTAACTAAACAAAAGGGAGTTTTTAAAAATATCTTTAAGAATATTTTAAGTGGTCATTATGGCCATGCTTAATACATGTATGCTTTCTCACTTCATTTTCAAGTTATGTACTAAAATGTCAAATAATTTGAGATTACAGAGAAACATGTATTAAAAAATGTAAAAACTATTTTTCTTGACTTTTTTCTACTTAATATATATTAGTACCATACTTTATAAACAACTTAGAATGTATTATAGTTTCTATCCAAAAATATATTGTCTTTTTTAACACATACATAGTAAAAATAAATGTAATTTGTCTCCTTCTTCTAGATTAATTTTCCTTTAAACCTTAAATTACATGTTTTTAAAGCTATGCAAATTAAAAATAAAAGAAAACCACTAAAATATCCCAAAGGTAAATTACAATATAACTGAATACATAGATCATCTGGCCCTTGTCAATGTCATGTGAGATCAAAGAATAGACTGAAAAGTTTCTCAGAGTCAACTTAAAATAAATGTCTCTGTGGCCTAATAATCAAAGCACAGTAAAAAATGTATATATATCATATATTATATATATAATGTAATTTCAGACATTGTGATGGTTAATTTTACTCATCAACTTGACTGTCTATAGGGTGCTGAGATTAAACGTTATTTCTGGGTATTTCTGTGACAGTGTTCTTGGAGGAGATTGGCATTTGAATCTTTAGGTTGAGTAAAGCAGATTGTACTCCCCAGTGTGAGTAGGCACCATCCAATCCCTTGAAAGCTAAATAGAACAAAGGTGGAAAAAGGAAGAAGTCACTTCTCTTTCCCTGTCTCAGTGACTGAGCTAGAACATCTCATCCCAGCTCCTCTGGCCCTTGGACTGAATTTTACACTGTGGACTGCCCTGGTTCTCAGACCCTCAGATTCAGGTGTAAGGAATTATACCATCAGCTTTCTTAAATCTCCACCTTACAGACAGCATATCTTGGGACCTCTCAACTTCCACAAGTATGTGAGCCAATTCCTCACAATAACATATATATATATTAGAATTATCTCACATAATATTCTGTATATAATATATATAATTGGGCCAGGCATGGTGGCTCATGCCTGTAATTTCAGCACTTTGAGAGTCTGAGGTGGGCAGATCACTTGAGGTCAGGAGTTAGAGACCAGCCTGGCCAACATGGTGAAATCTCGTATCTACTAAAAATACAGAAATTAGCCAGGTGTGGTGGCATGGGCCTGTAGTCCCAGTTACCTGGGAGACTGAGGTGGGAGAATTGCTTGAACCCAGGAAGCAGAGGCCTCAGTAAGCCGAGACTGTGCGAAGACACTTCAACCTTGGAGACAGAGCAAGACTCCATCAAAAAAAGAAAAACAACAACAACAACAACAACAACAACAAAACCTATGTATCTATTTCTCTATAACTGAATTATATATAATTTGTGTGTGTGTGTGTGTGTGTGTTTGTGTGTGTATCTCCTACTGTTTCTATTTCTCTAAAGATCCCTGACTAATGCAATATTCATCATTATAAAAATTTTAAAATCATTTTGAACACAGCACAGAAAAATTTTACAATGATATAATAATTTTCTGTTACTTTATTGTCTTTTTAGAGTAGTTTTAGGTTCACAGCAAAATTCAAAGGAAGGTATGGAGATTTCTCATATGCTCCTTTGTCCCTACCCATGCATAGCTTCTTCCATTATTAAAATACCCAACCAGAGCCACCAGAGTGCCACATTTGTTATAATTGATTAACCTACACTGCTGTATTATAATCACCCACAATCCATGGTTTACATTATGGCTCACTATTGCTACTGTACCTTCTATTGGTTTGAACAAATGCACAATGACATGCATCCACTACTCTAGTATCATAGGATATTTTCGCTGCCTTAAAATTCCTCTGTGCTCTGCATATTCATTCTTCCATCCTACCCAGCCCCTGGCAAGCGATCACTGATATTTTTACTTTCTGTATCATTTTGGCTTTAACAGAATGCTGTAATATACCTTGATTTATTTATCCATGATAATTTTTTTAAATGTCATATTTCCTTATGGCTGAACATATGAATAATTCTTTTTCTGAACATATATGTGATATTTAAACTTTAGAGTTTACTATCTGTAAGTATGCTAGATGTAAATAACTACTACTATATAAATATGGCTGTATAAATAAAACTAGTAAACCTCAGCAATCTTGAAATTCTAATAGCTACTCCTAAATCAGTGAAAACAAAACTTACTCTGAATGTTTATAAGATTTCACAACAATATGTTAGCGGAAATAATAAAAACACAAATTCTCAAATTGGCACCAAAAATAGTGACCACAGGGAGCCTACAGTTTTACATGCTCATCTTGGTTTGCTCAAAAATTATGTGCAAAAAATCAAGAACAAATATAAAATACTGTCATGCATTGCCTAATGGCATTTTGGTCAACAATGAACCACATATAAGAAAATGGTCCTGAAAGATTGTAATATATTTTTACTGAAACTTTTAAATTTTTAAATGCACAATATTTACCATTGTGTTACAACTGCCTGCAGTATTCAGTAGAGTAACATGTTGTACAGGGTTGTAGGAGCAATAGGCTATATCATATAGCCTAGGTGTATGGTAGACTGCATCATCTAGGTTTGTGTAAGTAAACTCCTTGATATTCACACAATGATGAAATTGCCTAACAACACATTTCTCAGAACATATTTCTGTCATTAAGCAGTGCTTGACTGCAATGGGGCAATTTATTTTTTTGAATGGTCTGTCACTCTGTTGTCCAGGCTGGGGTACACTGGTGCAATCATGGCTCACTGCCTCTCCAGGCTCTGGTGATTCTCCTGCCTCAGTTTCTGTATTTTATTTATATGTTTACTTTTTCAGTAGAGGTGGGGTTTCATCATGTTGCCCAGGTCAGTCTCAAACTCCTGGCCTAAAGCAATCCACTCGCCTTGGCCTCTCAAAATGCTAGGATTACAGGTGTGAGTCATTGCACTCGGCTGAAAAAGTTTTTAAATCATGTATTTCTCAAAATCTTAAAATTATTTCAAAAAATATTTACTCATTCCTAAATTATCATATAACCTGAGGAGTTCTGTTGCAGTGAAAGAACACATATTTTAATAAATTCAATAAAGATAAAAGTAAAGTATAAATTCATATTAATCATAATTATTCTTCACTTATATTTGTTTGCATTTATGAGAGGTTTATAAGCCAGAATGAATATTTTTTATTGCATTCCCCCAAATTTAATTTTGAAACATCTGATTCTACTAATTTATATTACTCATTTTATTTATTTGTGGTGTCACCTTGGGCTCATTAGTTTTAGAAGAAAAGCAATTTTTAAAAAGTCATTTGCTAAATAAATATTGGTATTGATAAACCTTTTTGTTGTTTCTGTTTTTACAAAAGAGCAGCCAAATAATTTTCAAAAATGCCCATCGTTAAGGAAATTGATACAAATTTGTTTAAAACAATAATAAATATAAGTAATAACATTTTTAAGTAAATTAAACCAACAGCTTAAAGTATGACTGATTGTAGTTAACACTTATGCTATTTAATAATAGACAGTAGGAGTCAATTAAAAACTTCTGTTAAGCATATTTTTCTTTTTATTGCATAATGTTCATTCTACTTTCACTATCCATTTTTGGAACATGCCTTTTAAAACTTGAAATCAGCAGCATTACTTTTTCTGCCAGTTTTATACGCTTTTATGCGGTACCTACAGAAAATTTACGTATTTTTTATTACAACTAAAACAAGTTTAATACTGCTAAAACTTGTCAAAGTCAACTTACATATTCTTAAATAGTGTGATTTAAAATATTTTAGAGGTTTAAATTGAAATATAGGAAAGCTAATTTGAATCTTTAAATTGAAGTTTTTTTCTTTCAAAACTAAAAGTTGTCTCTGGATAAAAAAAATCAAATTGACAAATATGATCATGCTTCTGCTATGTAGCAGATCCTTGAGCAGTTCACTGTGAAGGTAAAGACATTTTGTACCTTCCATGTTTGCAATTTTTATCTTAATGTTAATAGTTTACCGCCAATATCCAGTGACTTACTGTTGCATGTTGGTACATGAAGTTTCTAATAGTTTCCTGCATTGGGTCAGTCCAATTTCCAATTAAAGTGGGTGATGGAATGCTAATATTTGCTGTCACTTCACACCAGGTGTGTTAAATGTATGCTAGATAAAAAAAAAAAATGTTAAGGAACAACTCACAATTCATTTTGCTCCTATTCATGAGGTTGGGGGACACACTTGAGATAGAAAGAAGGCAGGTGATCCCGGTCTAATCGCCTAGTGAGCACACTAATAACTGACCTTCTGGCAAACTAATAACATATGCCAGCAAGAGTCTTTATATGAGCCTAGAAAATATGCTCCTGTAAACATCTTGAATGTCAGATGTCCCTGATCTAAGATTGCTTACTATAAATAAATCTGGAATCTTTGGATTGCTAGGGGATGGCTCTCTGGAAAATGCCACACGATTTATTTATTTATCTGAATAATAAATGGAGATAGTTCATGACTGAATTGGCTTCAGATTGTGTCAGTAAGGAGACCACACACTTCCTTAACTTTAGACCTCAACTTTCAACTTGGCCAAGAGGGTGTATCCAGTGTGTGTAGAAAGGCACGTAGAAAATCCTCACCTCTTGTTTCATCTATGCCTCTTAAAAGCTTGTTTACTTGAAATTATTAAGAAAGCTTGAAACAGTAAAGTCTCTGATTTGTGTGTCTCATTTGACAACTTGATATTTTATGCTAACTCATTTGCTTAAGTGTTTGGTGGGATTGTGATGCAACTTTTCTAATGATGAAAATTGTACACAAAAAGAGACTTGCTTCCTTGTCAACTTCTGGCTGAAGTAGAGAATACATTATTTATTTCTAAAAAATTACTAAACATTTCTGACTTTTCTGGAGTTTTTCTCTGTCTTCAGATGGCTTTAGAAAATTTCCAGTTTACAGAACATTTTGGAATTATAGTTATATCTGTGATTTAGGTAATAAAATAAATCGCTTTTTTTGGTTTAACTAAAATGTACCATGCGACATTTGGCTTAAAAATCCATTTGTGAATTTATATGCTCAATGAAAAATTAATTAGGCTGAGATGAGTTTTCTCTAGGTATATTTGTTCTTGTTGGTTTTTATTCTTATTTTAATTTCAGTCTAAGGGCAGTGCCTCTGCTGGTAAAACTGTGAATAGTTAACATGCTTAGTGAATGTGATCTCTAGTTTTAAGTGCCCCTCACAGATGAGCAAACTTGGCATCTGTCTCCCCTTCACTGTTTTTGCAACCACTTGGATTTTCCTCTTCCCTGAAGCACTTTTTTTGAATATTTATTTATATAATCATTCCCATGTGAAAAGGAAAACTTCCATGTATTCTACGTGCTTGAATCTCATACCTACATACCAAAATGAGAAAACTAAATATCAAATATCTTTATAAATTATTATCAATCAACTAGAAATATGCAGTATGGTATAGGAAGAGATGAATATTCATGAAAAATAGAATATGTGGCATGTAGTACAAGATATGCCAGTATTTTAAGAAATAACTGCAACCCATGATTTCAGGGAGATATTTTGTTAGATAAACGACAGGATAGGAATCAACTTTTTAAATCAATTGTTTTAAGCTACCAACTTAGGAAGAAGACTCAACTATATAAATAAAAAATAAAAGATCAAAATGACAGCAGTAATTTGTACTCTTTTGGGCCAATAGATCAGATGTTGTGACTATAAGAAGCCATTCAATAGACCTCATATGCCCCATACAATGCCATGAAAGTTAGATCATTGTTCAAATCCAAATATTTCAATATTATTTTGAAATTATAAGAGACATTTTAAGAAAGCATAACTGGTAAAATTTTTATTTCCCTCAAAGGGTTATCAAGTATATTTTGACTTTGTAATCAGTACTCTGAAAGATTATTTTTGTAACTCTTTCTCTTTGTGATGAGCCAGATGGTGGCATCATTTTCATTCAAATTGTAGCTTTGAACTTTATTATCTAAATATTTTGGTTATTTGTGTCACAATAGATTCTGAGTGGTGTTTTTATGGCAGATTTTAGTTTACACAAATTTATAAAATGTCAACTCTGATTTGGCATCTTGCTAAGAGATGGGGATAAAATGATGAATGTTGCCTGCCCTTACAAAACTTTTATTTTGCTGAGAGAGCAAAACTTTCAAATAAACAATTAAAATTATTATTTTATATGTTTTTCTAGAAATATGTAGAAACAAAACTGGTACCAGGTACAGTGATTATCTTCATCTATTAACATTTCTATTCAGAAAGCAATATAAAACACAAAGGAAAAAGTGACATCTAACTTGGCTTCTAAGGAAACACCTAAGGAATAGGTATTTACTGAGCAGAGGAAAAGGATATTTGGGGCAGAACCGGAAGTTGGTGTAAAGCCATAGAGGAAAACTATAATGCTGGGTTATGACTTTGCATGTAGAAGAATATTATGGAAAATAACAACGAAAACTGAGAATGTAGTACCGAGTCAACAGACTTCAAATATATGGTCAGAGAACATACACATAATGACTGGAGGTATGAGACTGGATCATCGGTAAGAGTGTGGCTCTTCTGTAAACGATTTAATTTTGGGTTAAGGTCAAGGGATAAAGCAAGAACGGATGTTAGGTTCTGGGAGAGGGACCCAGCCCTTGGGCTGTGGGGCTATTTAAACTGCATAATTAAAAATCACCATCCCCTCCAAGGTAAAATTCTATAGCACTCTGATGGGCAGAATGTTAGTGCAAGACCTAATTTCCCAGATCAGCATCCGTGGTTAGAGAAATACGTGTGGAGAAGCAACATGGTGTGATCAGAAGGCTGGGTTCTCAGACATGTGATTGCATCAGTACAACTTACTGGGCCGGTGTCTCAGTCCTTCATCTCAGCCTCATACAAGGTTGGCTGCCTGAGAGCTCAGCAGTTGTTGGTTTCCATGGAGGTTTGGAAGAGACCTAACTTCAGCGACCTCATCACAGGAAAATTGACTCTTATTTATCTAAAGTGTTTACAACACATTCTTGCATAAAATCACATCTGAAAATATTTATTGTTTTTTGTAAATATTTCCAGTTGGTTTGTGGTAGTTGGCATTTAAATTTAGTCCTGCTTGACTTTTCAGCACACATTTCTAAATAGTATACTATGATGACCTTGGGATCATTCAGTGTATATTCATTCATGTTTGGGAAGAATAAGGTGATCCTTCATTCCAGACAGTTTGGGAAAAATAAGGTGATTTTTTTTAATATTTCCTTTCCATTTTCTGAAGTAGTAGAAATGACTGCAGTAAGAAACAAAAGAAAGGGATTATATTGCATTGTTTGCAATAAATGAATGGAAGAATCAAACACAATGCATTTGCTAAATAGGTAGTGTTGAACAAAAGTAATATTCAAAATCATAGACTATAAAATATGTTGAATATATCCAAATATGTTCTTGAAATTTGGGGGCTAAATTTTGAAGAAAGAGAATAAAGACTAAATGTTATGGTCATTTTTTAAAATCTTGGAGTTTGTAGCTGAGGCACTTCATGCAATTTGAGAGACATTTTCAGTTCAAAATCAATCTAGGCATTACTTCCCCATCAAAATTCCAAGAGCATTACAATTATTTTATTAAGGCAAAGGAAGAGATGAGAGAGTACACACAGAATCTTAGCAGGAACACAGGATGGACTCTATTCCTAGGCTTTGGTACTCAGAATATGTTGGAGGCTGTAGGGGCTTTACAATCTGCATAATTGAAAATAGAGATAGCTAACATATTGGAAATACATTTTACAGAAACCTTTAAGTAAGCTTATGTTTCTCTCTTTCTTTGTCATCAAAGGAAATAGTGCCATGTGGACTGGAGTGGAACAAGATTCTCACAGAACAGAAATTTTAAATGAATCACAACCTCTGACTAAAAGAGTGGAATAAATAAAAAGATGGAATCCAGTAGAACCCTCAAGTTTCAGGACTTGGTAACTGAGTATATACTTATGACACTAGCCAAGATAAGAAATGGATAGTAAGAACATGTTCATTTTATGATATGATTGGTTCCATTTGTGGTATTTTGAGGTAATTCAGATGATTAATAAAAATGCAGTACAATGGAGACATTTAGTTGTATCATAATACAACTAAATCCAAAGCTAGGCAAAGGCTCAAGACTAAACTGTCCAATTAGCAGAATATTAAGATGACAAAGAAGTAACTTAAGCCCTAGCCAATTCTGTGAGGAGCATGAAAATCCAAGAAAGACATAGTTTTTCATTTTAGAAAAACACAACATGCTGAAATGTATAAATACATTTTAGATTATTAAATTCTTATTATTGTTAAATATTCTTGATTTTTTACTCCTTTCTATAATTTTCATCTATAATTTTATCCCTATATATTCTAAAATGTAATGAATCCAAGCATTACACTTCATCTATACTAACGACTTCCTCTATAATGACTTAGCTGAGCTAACTATTTCAAGTTTCTGAAATATTTTGAACTTATTGGTTGATATCTGTTTACTTGATTCATGTATGAATCTCCAAATATATCTAAAAAATTGAAACTGTATAGAGATAAAAAATTTAAGTCTACACACTCATGAAATAAGTATTTGGTATATTTTGATACAAATTTGATTTTAATATGAGTATGATATATAATCGGTATTTATTCAATATATAGGCATATACTATGTATATCTATTCAATATGTAGGCATATGTTATGTACTGGATCAATGCATACAAAAATAGACAAAACTAACACACGCTGTAATGCTGTTACTAACATTAAATCTTAGACTAAGTGATTTAAAAAATACAAACAGGAAGCCAACATAATTCTTAGTATTGTAGATAATTCTACATTCCAGTTTCTTTTTTTGGGTGGGGGTGGCTATTTATTTCATTGTCTTGACTTTTCTCATTTACATCCCTGACAACACTGGCTTTTGTCATTTCTCTGCTGGTTTATTGCATTTACCTATGACTATCTGCCCTAACTTCAGTCTTTTCTTGGCTTAGAAATATTGTCTACTTAACTGAAGAAGAAATTACCCAAAACAAAAATCTGACCATGTAATTATTAACTCTAAATCATTGATAGTGTTCCATTTACTCAGACAGGGAAAGGAGTTAACATTTGGAAAGTAACTGCTATGTGGGAGAAATACAGAGGAGTCTTGCATGATTCACTAAGCTTCATTAACTCAGTTAGCCGAAATTATCACGGAAAAGCAAATATAAACAACAGACAAGCATGGAAATAGAAATACCTGTAAGTAAAATACATTTTGTGCATGTGGAAACCAGGTGTTTGGATTGCTTCATACTAGAAAAACAAAAGCAAAACCAATGAATTCAAAGATGACTCAAATATTAAAATCACAGGAACTCTGGTAAATTGTATTAATCTATCCCAGGATAATCTTCCCACTTTTTGCTTTGTATTATATCTCTTCTCTTTCCTCAGGATTTTACATCATAGATTATTTATTCTCACTCTTGTATATTTACCTCTTTTCCCTCCCAATGGATAATTATCCTTTAAGTTAAATTCATTTATTCAATTCATTCACATTCTTTCAATGAAGCTGAATGTATAGATAGATAAATGGATAGATAGATATGTACATACATATGTAGATATACAGATCTCCCACTTGACAACTCATGGTCCCGGAGTTATTGCACTTTGTCTGTTTTCTTTCACAACCAAGTATTGAAGATTTTATCCATAATGTTGTACTAATTCTCCAATCTCTCATTAACTCTTCAAACCACTCCCTTCTTGCTTTCACCATAACACTCTTCTGAAAATGGGAAATCTCACTATTTTTTCAAATACTTGTTACTGCACACAATTGATTATTTCATCTGCCTTTGCTTCTTTTTTTGAGATGGAGTCTTGCTCTGTCGCCCAGGCTGGAGTGCAGTGGCGCGATCTCAGTTCACTGCAACTTCTGCCTCTTTGGTTCAAGCAATTCTCCTGTCTCAGCTTCCCTAGTAGCTGGGATTACAGGTGTCTGCCACCACGCCCGACTAATTTTTGTATTTTTAGCAGAGACAGGGTTTCACTATGTTGGCCAGGCTGGTCTCGAACTCCTGACCTAAAGTGATCCCCCCGCCTCGGTCACCCAAAGTGCTGGGATTACAGGCATGAGCCACTGCACCCGGCCTGCCTTTGCTTCTTAACAGCATTCAGACCTGTTCACCATTTCCCATATTTTGAAGTGTTTTATGTCCTTGAGTTTAATAATGCAAACTCCTTGGTCTTCCACATTACTTGTCTGGTCATTATTTCTCTTCTGTTTAAAGATAGCATTCTGCAAGTAGCAGCTCTATTCGTTACTCTTCCTCTAACACCTTTATTTACCCCTTTCTGCAGGAAAATCACAAATTGAATTTTTACCTAGACCAGTGTACTCCCACAGAATTATCCACTAAGATGGAAATTTTTTATATTGGAACTGACTAAAACAGTAGCCATTAGCTACACTTGGCTATAGGGCACTTGACATGAAGCTAGTGAGATTGAAAAACTGAACTTTAAATTTTATTTTAATAACTACATGTCTACTGGCTACTGATTGGACCATACAGATGTAGACCTCCCAACAGTCTATTTGGCCTTACCTCTTGAATGTCTGCATACCACCTCTCGCTAAAGGAATCAGACTGAATTCATCTTCCTCCTATTCAAATTTGCATTTCTTCTAGATTCTACAACTTGTCTATTATGTAAATGGAAAATCCAGGAGTTATCAGACAATGCCCTCTTCAACTTTCCTGCGGACTTTCCCTTCAAAGGACATCTCAAATCAGATCACTTCCCTGGTATCTACCAGAAACCACTCAGTCTAACTACTATTTCTACCTGTTTTGCTTCATCAGCCTCTTATTATTATCTAATTTACCTAATTCATGTTTAAACACACCACAGTACTCTTGATGAAACACAAATCTGATGGCATTCATTGGCCCCACCCTCATTCCTGTCTATCCAATTTAAAAATTTCTGAGAGTTATATTTGTTTTAAAGTGCAGACAGAATTTCTTAAAATGGCCTACAATAGTCTTACATTTTGAGGGCCACGTGTACCTCACTGGCCTCTTTGCAAAGCACATTTACTCTTGTTCAACTTACAGACAATATTAAATATATAATTGTTCTTAATATTTGCAATACCTTTTATCAACTATAAAGCACTTTTTTTTTTTTACACCTATCTGGTTTAATGCTCACATTCTCCTAAGCTGCATCCATTCCAGCCACACAGGGTTTTTTTGTTTTGTTTTGTTTTTCTTTTTTTTTCATTTCATTGAACACACTATACTGCCTTCAACCACAGGGTCGTGGAACACATTTCCTTCTTTCTCACTGTATCCAACTTTTATCTAAGCATCTCTTTCTAATCTAGCTCCTTTTTTTATTATAAATGTTGCAAAAGCTAATAAAATTTAAGCTTCAGAGTCTCTCATTTGCATGGGCTGCTTCCAAGACTCTGTGCTTAGTTTGAATTATTTTTCTTAAAGTGGGCCCACAAATTTTGTAAGATTTTGGTATACTAAACTGGACTCAATGATGGCCACAAAATGCAACAATTTTGCTTCTTAATCTTTTAAAATATCTTATGATAATTGCCAACTGGGTGAATTCTTATAATGAATTGGGAGAAATCTCTATAATCTAGTATTTAATTTTTGTAAGATTGTCTGGAGCTTATTCTATGTACAAAGTCAGAAGAAGAAAATGAGTTTTTGAGAGGTTAAGACATTTTTCCATGGCAATCAACTAGTGATTTCCTAACTACAATCTAGTTCTTCTCCTACCTAGTAGAGGGCTCTCGCATGCTTTATACCTCAGAGAAGAAATGTTGAAAGTATTAGTATATTGTTATTTTGTTATAATATGCTTTTATCTTAAAAACTGCATTGCTAAAAGCTTTTGAAAAATAACACAAATAACAAAACAATGATTTAATAAATAAAATGTAATATGCATTCAATTGGCTGTTAAAATGTAATCATGTCTGTATTTTAATAGTAAGTTTATATATTATTTGAAATAAAAAAGAGAAAATTACTCACTGGTTATTCAAAGTAATATAATAATTTTATTCAGAGTATGTAAAAAATCAAATATATTTCGTCTATCTTGCTTAAAAAATCTTAAAAGCAGATTGTAAATTCAAAACAATAAAATTTGTTATCTTTTATTTCATTAGATTATGCATCTGCTAGAGTGCACTGGACCTTGAACAAAGTGGGTTTGAACTGTGCAGGTCCACTTATGCATGGATTTTTAAAAATAAACATACGGGAATAATTTTTGGAGATTTGTGACAACTTGAGAAAACTCACAGATGAACTGCGACCCTGGATATATCAAAAAATAAGAAACTGTTATGTATTTCATGTATGCAAAAATATATGTAGATATAAGTCTGTGGTATCATTTCCCACCACAAATTATACACAGATTTTAATAAAAATGTAACATTTATAAAAACTTAACACGCACAAACACAGACAGTACATGGTGCCATTTGCAGTGGAGAGAAATGTAAACAAATATAAAGATGCAGTATTAAATTACAACTGCATAAAATCAACCATAGTACATACTGTACTGCTGTAATAATTCCATAGCTGTTTCTCATTGCTATTGCAGTGAGCTTAAGTGTTGCGAGTATATGCTTAAAACACCGTGTGATGCTAATCATCTCTGCATGAGCAGTTCATTTCTCCAGTAAATTGCATATCACATATAAAGTGATCTCTCGTGGTTCTCACGTATTTTTCATTGTGTTTAGTGCAATACTGTAAACGTTGAGTAACATCACGGAACTCATGCAAAGTGCCACTAGTGATGCTGGAAGTGCTTCCAAGAAGCAGAGAAACGTCATGACATTACAAGAAAATTGCTTGATGTGTACCAGAGATTGAGGTCTGCAGCTGTGATTGCCTGCCATTTCAGGCAGACGATTCATCTTATAAAGAGATAAGGTAAAATTATGGTATCAATAAATACAGTAAAGTACTGTAAATACATTTTCTCTTTCTTATAATGTCTTAATAACATTTCTTTTCTTTAGCTTACCTTATTGTAAGAATATATATAATACATATAATGTACAAAATATGTATATAATACATATAACATACAAAATGTATGTTAAATGACTATGTTATCCATAAGGCTTCCAGTCAACATAAACTATTAGTAGAGATGTTGTTGGGAGCCAAAATTTATAAATGGATTTTCAACTGTGACAACAGTTGGAAGGGGATCTGCGCCCCTAAACCCTGCATTGTTAAGGATTAACTGCATTTAGAATGGCTCAATTAACTTTTTCATTGTGAAAACTGAGCACTATTTTTTACATTATAAGGAATGACTGACATATACTCTTCAAATGTAGGTTCTCTATGGAACGTTGAGGACACATTTGAAGAACCGATCAGCAATGAGCAAAGAAGTGGGTTTACTTATCCTTTTACTGGAGTAAAGTATTTAACATGAGAGGTATAGAGTAATAATTTGTTTAAATCCTTTTGTATTTATGGAAGATGTAAAAATGCACAATGATTTACAGGGAGAGGTTTTTGAAAGCATAAAGTCATACAAAAAATCTGATGAAATCTCTCCAAAGATTGCAATATTATTGGGGAGGGGGAAGGCCTTCGATTTTTGTTGTTTAAGAATCTGGCGACATTTTTTAAAGCTTGTCAATTTTTTAAAGCTGACACCAGATGTGTGGGGGTTTTGCCACACCAAGTGATTCTCCAATTCTTAGTGGACACTGATTGAGTATCCTACAGTCTAACTCAATTCTGACACTAACTTTATGGATTTAATGCCTATCCCACAGGTTAACGGTTCAGTCCCACAAGACTATCCCTGACCTCAGACACCAATTACAAGTCCAGATTGTCACTTGTGTGTCTAACAGACTGCCTGCAAATCAGGCATTCCTACAACCTCCTCCTAAAACTTTATAATATGCTAGAATGGCTCATGCAACTCAGGGGAACATATACTGACATTTACCAATTTATCACGAAGGATGGGATAAAGGATACAGATAAATAGTCATGAAAAGGTATGTAGATGGAGATCTAGGAGGGTTTCTATTGCAGGAGTTTCTGTCCCAGTGGAGTTGAGGTGCACAACCCTCCTGGCATGTGGATATGTTCACCAACCTGAAACAATTTTGTTCAGAGTATGAATTATGGAAGCTCTCCAAACCTTGTACTTCAGGTTTTTTTTTTTTTTTTGAGGCTTAATCACAGCGTAATCAATAATTAACTCAGTCTCCAGCTTTTCTCCAATTCCCAGAGTATTAAGTGGGCTGAAAATTCCGATCTTCAATAATTATGGCTGAATCCTTTTGGTGACCAGCCCCTATCCAGAAGCCCAACAAGAGTTGCTTCATTGGAAGAAAAAATGCTCCTATTACCCAGGAGGTTCCAAGGAGCTCTGTGTGTGAAACTGATGTCAAAGACTAAATATTTTTTAAAATACTATTTTAGCACCCCTATAACTCAAGAGATTAGGAGAGTTTTAGGAGCTCTGTGTTAGAAACTGGGGGCACATGGCTTATGCCTGTAATCTGAGCACTTTGGGATGCCTGAGATCAGGCATTTGACACCAGCCTGGCCAACACGGAGAAACCCAGTCTCTACTAAAAATACAAAAATTAGCCCAGCGTGGTGGCGAGCACCTGCAGTCTCAGCTACTCGGGAGGCTGAGGCAGGGAGAATTGCTTGAACCTGGCAGGCGGAGTTTGCACTGAGCCTACATCATGCCATTTCACTCCAGCCTGGGCAGCAGGGCGGGACTCTGTCTCAAAAAAAAAGGCAAGGAAAGAAACTGGGGGCACAAACATATATCATACAAACATTGCATTTACATATATAAGTGCATAAAATGAATAAGAATTTTCTAAAATTCTATACAGAGTTTACACCTCTGTTATTGGAAAATGATGCAAAGATTAAATACATAGCATAACAAATTGTTTTACCAGGTTCTAGATATTTCTTAATCTCAAATTAACATCTAAAATTAATTCAACTAGTCCACCCACTGTCAGCTTGGCATCCATATGCATCAAACTTAATTTTCAAGTAAAGACAATGACAAGTTACTAGTTCTATCTAACATATAACATGATGATGTTATGCTGTGATTGTGATTGTGGGGATTTCAGACATTAGCGATTTTTGACTTTAATGATTTAGACTTTAAAGATTTTGATATTTTGAGATTTTGACATTTGGTATTTTTGCATTCAGCACTGTATTTTTCAGGATTATGATTCAACCCCAAAAATTATTATAAAAATAAACATTTAAAGGAAAAATATAAAATAAAAGATAAGGTGTCATTCTTATTATGGGACCACTTACATGTTTACCTGTGAAAGCAAATAAAAGTTTTGTTTTCACAGACAATTATTTGATAAAATTTGATAAAATTACAATCACACAATTTTCTCATACTGCATAATAGTGAAACTATGCAACCTGTTCATGAGGAATTAGTGTAGGAATCTGTTTGGTACTGAAGAAATCACTCAAACTACTAGCAGGGAGAGAGAGATACAATGTAAGATATTTTTCCTCAAATGTTCACCTGGAAAAATCTTCTCATTACCTAGATGGTGAGACCTAAGCCCAAGAGTTTTAAGCGATGTGCCTAAAGACCACTGTTTTCTAGCTGCTTCTCCAAAGGTCATCTAGAGCACAGATTGCTTAAGGAATGGACAGTTCTAGTGCTCAGTAATATAGGGAGTTATTTAATCAATCACCATTATCTATCAAGATAAGATTAACCATTTTTGTATATTTAACCGAGGTATCAAATGAATAGCTTAGACTGATCTCCTATTTTGGTGGAGATAACTATTTTATAAGACTTTCTGTATATTTGGTAAATAGCACAGTGCTCGGTACACGGTTAATACACACTATTTTTTTCAATTAGCCTGAATACATCTCCTAAAATTCTAATGTTTGAATATCTATTTTAATAAAGTTATACATAATGCTTTTTAAATAAAAACTACATCTATTAACTTTGCAATAAGAAGGATTGGAATTGCAGTAAGAAGGATTTAAATAATTAACATACTCAATAACTTTCCCTATAATATACAATAGATTTATTTGAGGATAATGTGATTCCTTAAATTTCTATGTGATAATATATTTCAGAGTTTAAAATTGCATTCCACTCGAGAAATTTCAGAAACACAGTATACAACAATGCTTTACATAGTATGCTTGGAATAAGCCAAATTATAAGAAGTAAAACTATCTCAGAGTTAATATTAGGAACAAATTGGTAAAACATTAATGAAGCTTATAGCCATTGTGTTTTATGTATTGAAATCTAGGCACTGAGATGCGCAAATGCTTTCCCCCACTTAATTGAGAAAGGCACAAATAAGATGGGATTCCTCCAAGGTCAGTACTGAGAGAAGTAAAATATATGCAAGATAATCATATTGAATTTACACAATACAGAATAGGAAATACATATTCTTTGCCTGTTCAGATTTTCAAATTGCCTCCAGTTAAGGAATTTTTTTTCCCTGTGGCAGGAAAAACAACTTTTATTTAGCAAAAAGTAGATTTTTTTTTTTGTGAAGATAACTGAAATGTCAAGAAAATGATGAGAAGGAAATTGTTTGGAAAATTGCAAAAGATAACATAGGCATGAAAACTGAAAAAGTTCTTAAAATGTCGTAAAACTCTAAATTAATGCCGACGTGAGATTTTGCTAGTTTCATCACACTCTTTATATATACGAAACTTAATTCATTTTTGACTCACATTTTGAGCAGTTTCATAATTAATTTTTATTATTTTGTCCTCAGAGTATTTATGTAGTTATTTTGTCATTTAGTTTTATCATAATATATAAATTTTGAGTATATTTTAATAAAATCTTTATTTGAAGCTTGATTTGTTGAATTTCAAGCAATGTGGATGATAAATCTTGTTAGGGTTTTCATTTGGAGCACTTCTCTGGTTTGTTATGTTTGAGAAAAAGCGAATTCATATCCTTTGTGAAATATGATGAGAAAATTTTGAGAAATTATTTTTATTAAGAAGGTTAAGGATTCAAATTTTACATTCAAATTGCACAATTCTTCAGTCCTCATTCTGTCTAAATTGCTTTTAAGTAATACAAAATATTCAAAATAGTTTTTTAGGATATTAGTTTACATTCTTCAATAGATTAATAAATTGGTAAATCCTCAAGCGAGAACCACTTGTGCAAAAATAGTTTAAACTAAAATTTTATATTTGTTAATAAATAGGGCATTTTGGCAGCTTTTGAGCATTTTAGAAAATATAGATAAGTTTAACATTAAATTTTTCTCATAAGGTTTCCCATTCCTGATTTTGCCCGAATTTATTTTTCCAGTTTTTTTTTTTTAATTAAGATTAAAGCATAACACAAGTACAAGATTCTTGAGATTGGTAACCCTAAAATGTGTATTTTTTTGCTCAATATTCTGAATCCTCAGAGCAAGTTGGGCAGCCAGTAATTCCTGATGTCAGGCTGAATACCCATTACTTATTTATTGAAAACTTGCATTTGTGTGAACTTCACTTAAGTCCGTTTTAATGTAAATGATTGTTAAATAGAGTATTGTTTGTAAGGTACAGACAGTGTTTGTAAGATTTCATTTAACTTGATATTGTAAAATATGAAGAAATTTTCTAAGAATAACATTAGGTACTAAACTATCACAAACCTGATCCATGATTTTCAATAAACTTTTTTTTTTTAAATTCAGAATTACGGTTTATAAAGCACCAGGCACTCTCTTTGGAAAAGAAATTTTAAACTGTAAATGGTTAGAGAAATCAAAATCATTTACTATTTTCAGAAAACTCTTTCGAAGATTAGATTTTAAATTTAAATGGTAGTGATTTATTTTATTACTTCAATAAAAACTAGATCAGATAAATGAATAGGAAAACTCTGGACATGTCAGTTTCATGTGCATAGTAAATATGATGTTTATAAGAAAGTGTGTGGTTAATTTTATTGATTTAACAATGCAAAATAGTTTTAAAGATTACCAAACATAGCATTAAAGGAGATTTTATTAGCTTGTGCACAAGGGAACTAGTCCCTAGACAGGAAAAAGGAGCAGGCTGCTCCATGAGGGTGGTGCGTAGCTCAGAGTCTTTTCATAGGGAAGAGTCACTTCAGGGCATGTATAAGAGGAGTCTTCTAGCACTTGTGCAGTTGATCAACATGCTTCTTCATACATTGCATGTAACATTGGCATTTTAAATCTCTACCCCTCAGCATGAATCTTAGCATTAAAATGAGGAAAAGGTAACTTTAGGTTAAAGTCTAACTGCACATGTGGGGCTCCAGGAAAGTCGTTAGCCCCTGAAATAGAAACTTACAATTAATAGCTTACTGAGCCTTTTGTTACTGATTGGCTGTGGGTTAGATAAGCTAGAGCTTGATTGAAGGGCTTTTATCCTTTTCCTTAGACCATCTTAAAATAGGAAATCAGCCAGCCCACCTATCCCAAAACCCTGAAGAAACTTTACTTTCTTAACTTTTCAAAATAGTGTCAGATAAAAATACTTCAAATGTATAATTACTGAAAAAAAATACAGTTTTCATGTAAGGCCAACACTCTTTATGTTTAAATTAAAAAGAAAATTGTAGAGATGGGTCTCACTATGTTGCTGGTTTCTAAATTCCTGGGTTCAAGCAATTTTTCTATCTTAGTCTTCCTGAGTGCTATGATTGCAGGCATGAGCCACCATACCAGGCCTCCTTTATCTTTTTAAAGATGTATTTTGTTTTTGAGAAATTTATAGATTAAAAAATAATTTATTTGTGGTTTCTTTATCCTTTGCCTGACTTTGTGAGATCTTTTTTAACCTAGAATTCACATATGAGCACAAGATTCTTTTATTTATCTGAAATTTAGTTTTGGAATGGGGTAAGATACACTTTTTTAATATAAATAAGTAGATGATTATCTTAATAATACTAAAGAGAACTTTCCTTGTTCACTAAATGTGAAATGACACATTTATCACAAGCAAAGCTCACATATATTTGTATATGTATACACACATATACATTTGTCTATTTTGCATAAATATCACACAGCTATGATATATATAAAATAATATGATCCCACTCAGGAATGAAATATAGAACCCTGATTCGGATATGGATCCTAGAAAGATAAATGGGAACTTCCCTAAGATCACATAATTAGCAATACGGTGTTTGAACCTTAACCCTACCAATTGCTAATTATGTGATCTTAGGCAAGTTCCATTATTTCTCTGTTTTTAGATTCTCATCTTATAAAATGGGTATAATAAGTATATCATATAAGATTGGCATAATGATTAAATGAATATATGTATAGTGTTTACAATGTTGTTTAGCACATAGCATTATATGTGTTAACTCTTGTGTTATCAACAAATTTTCCAATTTTAAAATATTTTAATTCATTTTCTTTGTGAAGCACATCATGGGATTCATAAAAATCTTTTGGAATTTTGATTGGGATTATACTAACTTTTAAAATTTATTTGATTTTGAAAGTAACACTGAAATACATTTTCCTTCCAAAATATATTTTTTAAATGTTAAAAAGAGGAATGTTATTTGATTACTGATAGTTTGGGATGTAGCATTGTAAATATATTTTCTATGCCTGTGACAACATAAGCATATGCCCAGTCAACACGTTGCATTATATATTATAGTTGGTATTATTTTTCTTTTACATGAATAGTATATAGCTGTAATTCATCTTGGTAATATTTGGTTTCTCAAAAATATGTCTTTCAGATATTTATATTTTGTTTTAAAACCTTCTTAATCCAAATATTTTATTGATAAACATATAGAATGTTTCAAATAGATGGAAAAATGCTTAAGTTTTACAGTAGCTTGCATGCCTCCTTTTGTGCATATCTGTAAACTATTCTTTGAGTAAATATAAAGAGAGAATTTACTGGCATTTTGAAACAATTAAATTTGTTTTAAAGACATAGGGCAAAAGATGTGAAGAATTTTCCTGTGGCCTAAAAAAGTATCAGGTATGAGAGATAATGTTTCAAACATTGATTTGGCCTGAACCAGAGCTGGCTGATTAATTTGAGCAATGTATGCACTTATGGGCTCTTTTTATTTTTATATAAACTATTTTATTACAAAACAAAAAAACAGATTTCAAAGGTCACACGAAGTAATGTAGAATTCAAGGTGAAAATATTTGTAACCATCACCCAGGTCAAGAAAATAGTCCTGGGCTGGGCGTGGTGGCTCACACCTTTAACCCCAGCACTTTGGGAGGTCCAGGCAGGCAGATCACCAGGTCAGGAGTTGGAGACTAGTCTGGCCAATATGAAGAAACCCTGTCTCTGCTAAGAATACAAAAAACTTGGAACTAAGCCAGGCATAGTGGTACGTGCCTGTAGTCCCATCTACTCAGGAGGCTGAGGCAGGAGAATTGCTTGAACCCAGGAGGCTGGGGTTGCAGTGAGCTGAGATCGCGCCACTGACTCCAGCCTGGGTGACAGAGTGAGACTCCGTCTCAAAAAATAAAAAAAAATAAAAAAAATAAATAAATAAATAAATAAATAAATAACATAGTCCCTCAGTGTGATCTATCCTAAACCTAATTTCCTTCTATTCTCCAAAATATAAATGCCTTTCATTAATCTATACTTTTAATTTCTCAGTCTATATCACTAGATTTTATAGCTTACTTATGTGTCCCTCACTTTTGTGATAGTTCTTTAATAAGTTTATCATTTAATGTGTATATATTCTCTTGACCTCACTTTCAAACAATTTTTCCCTTGGTTCCTAGGCTATTTAACACATAGGTTTGAATTTTCTAAAAGCAAATCCCTTGTTTCTTTGTTGACTTTCTGTCTTGACGACCTGTCTAGTGCTGTCAGTGGAGTATTGAAGTCCCCCCACTAGTATTGTGTTGCTGTCTATCTCATTTCTTAGGTCTATTAGTAATCTTTGTAGACATTTGGGAGCTCCAGTGTTAGGGGCATATATGTTTAGGATTGTGATATTTTCCTGTTGGACAAGGTCTTTTACCATGATATAATGTCCTTCTTTGTCTCTTTTAACTACTGTTGCTTTAAGGGTTGTTTTGTCTGATACAAGAATAGCTACCCTGCTTGTTTTTGGTGTCCATTTGCATGAAATGCCTTTTTCCACCCCTTTACTTTAAGTTTATGTGAGTAGCTATGTGTTAGGTGAGTCTCCTGAAGGCAGCAGATAGTTGGTTGGTCAGTTCTTATCCATTCTGTGGTTCCATATCTTTTAAGTGGAGCATTTAGGCCATTTACATTCAATATTAGTATTGAGATGTGAGGTACCATTCCATTCATCGTGCTATTTTTTCCCCTGTGTGCCTTGTTTTTGTTTTTTAATTTGTATTTTTGTTTCATAGGTCCTGTGTGATTTATACTTTAAAGAGGTTCTGTTTTGATGTGTTTCCAGGATTTGGTTCAAGATTTAGAGCTTCTTTTATACTTATTATTCATTTTATATTTTTCAGCCTGCTATCAATTTAAATACTTTGTGCATTTGTCATGTTTTTAATATTTTTCTTTTTACTTTGAAAGATTTTCCTTTAGCCCTTGTACCCCACACTCACCCAATAAACACACACACACATACATACACATTTCTCTATAACTTCTTCTTCCTTTATCCATTTATTGTGAATTTTTAAGATTACAGTTTCAAGATTTTAGAGATTACAAATAGCTCTTCCAGATCTGTGATTTATGAAATAATTTTGGTTGTGTTATTTTTCACAGAACACAAGACCTTTGTTTTTTCTTTGTTGCTTCTGTTTTGTGGGTATTATGATAAATCTTTTTCCCACTCAGTTCTACATTTTTTAAGTTACTGTTTTGGTTTGTTATCCATAATTGCAATCTCATTTGGTATAATCTACTGGGAACTTATTATTTATATGGTAATTATATTTTATAAAGTGATCTAGTTATACAATGTCATCAGTGTTGTCTCCCAGTGATTTTTTACACAATTTCTATCAGTTATTTTGTTGCTTTTGATATCTAGGTCCATTTCTGGGTTATGTAATTTTATTGTTTTATTTCTTTGTTCCAGTACAATATTTTTATTATTATAACTTTGTAGGATATTTAAAATCTGATAGGGTAAATCCTGATATTTTCTCTATTTAAAAAACTGTGGGCCTTATATTGTAAATTTTAATTTTTCTACATAAATTTTACATCTATTTAATTTGATATTATTGAAATCATGACTGGAATTGCATGTAATATATGCATTTTAAAAATCAAAGCTCATATAATTTAATGTTATATAATTCTACATATGAAAATGATATATTTTGTGTCTATTAGAAAAACTTATACTTAACTGTAATTTTTATCTTTCCCCTTATCTTAAATTCCAGGTCTTTACTTTGCTTTCATTAATTTTTCCTGGGTATTGCCCAGCAAATATCCTTTTAAAATTTTTTTAAAAGGACGTATAGTAAATATAACTCTAAAATTTCCAAAGTATCATTATTTTGCCCATGTATACCTTAGAAGAAATTTTTCTAAACTCTTCTGGCATCTACTGATGTTAACTTTATTTCCATTATGCTGAAATACATTGTTTTTATTTTTTGGAAGATTTTACTAGCATCTTCATTCTTATCAATCTACTTATTTAGAAATTATTAACAATTTTGCTTGTTTATGAAACTTTCAAATTTCCTTTGGTTTTTGTAGACATGGATATGCTTATGGATGTGGGTAGATTTATATAGATAAGGATACACAGTTAACTTGCACAATGTCCATTTTTAAGGGATTCAATGTATCTGCCTAATCCACATTAATTCAGAAGCTCTACTTTGATTTGTTTATATTTGTTTATTCTCACTCCTTTAAGAAAGTTTATCTATTCCCTTAATTAACAAAATAAATCTTCAAAAATGGGTATCTGTAAGCTCTGACTTTAGTCTTTTATTCCAAACATTTTAGATAGAATATATTAACTGCTGTTACAAAAACCTCTAAAATCATAGAGATTTACTTAAAGAAGGGTTATTTCTTACTCATGTTATAAGACAGTATGAACTGGAAGAGAGGAACACTCTATGTCATCATTCAGGGGTCCAAGTTCCTTTCTTTTCATGTTTCAGTCATCCTCATGGTCTTCAGAATCCTCCACTGGACCTTCTACATTCATCAGTAAGAAGAGTGATGAGAGCATTACAGAATCCTACCAAATTTTTTTATGGAGTCAGACAAATATCTTCTTACCAAACTGCAGAGAATTCTGAGGAATATATTGTAGCTTTGGGCCCAGGAAACATGAGGAATTAACTTTAATGATTGGCTACAGTCTCAGTCTCAGTTTCCCTTTCTTGTCACCAAATGTGTCAGTATGCTTAGAGTAGAAAGGCAGAACCACTATGAGTGAAATACAGTTAAGAATATATGACTGGGGCTGGGCGCAGTAGCTCATACCTGTAATTCCAGCACTTTGGGAGGTGGAGGCAGGCAGATCACGAGGTCAGGAGTTCGACCAGGTGTGGTGCTAGCCAGGCGTGGTAGTGCATGCCTGTAATCCTAGCTACTCAGGAGGCTGAGGCAGGAGAATCGCTTGAACCCGGGAGGTGGAGGTTTCAGTGAGCCAAGATGCACCACTGAACTCCAGCCAGGGCAACAGAGTGAGAGTCCGTCTCAAAAAATAAAAATAAAATAAAATAAAGAACATATAATTGGGATTCAATCTTACACAAGTCTGAGAGCAGCTGTGGTGGTAGCATTGACTTATTGGACATGGAAAAAAAGACACTAAACAAAGACCGAAGAGCTGCTGATGAAGAAGCCTACAGAAGGCTGCTGTATCTGCATCTGGTGGTTAATCTGAAGGTGTTGTAGGTAAGCCATACAAGTAGATAAGAAAATAAGCTCAAGCAAAATAGGGAAAAAGTAGAACAGACAGGATGACAAAACAAAAAACAAACAAACAAAAATTGTAATCTACAAAGACAAAGTGGAATTTCTGAGAATGAGCTGGAACCCACTTCAGTGTCTCCTGATATTTAACACTGATAACATGAAAGACTTGCAAAAAATACTAAGTGCCCTTTTATACAGAACTGCACATGTGCTTAATCTGGGACTTAAACTAAAGGAGGAGATCTTGCAGGTGTAGAAGGACATGTAATCTAGTTGTCCACCTCAGAGCCAAATTAGTAAATGTGAGCTGCAGTGATGCCTTTGGCTCTGCCCTGATTGTTGGGAAAACTTACTGCTCCTTTACTTCCACTTTCCAAATCTAGCACAAATTTCTCTTGTGACCAAGCCTAACCTAGAACCACACAGGGAACGAAAATCAGACAATATAATTGCAATTTAACTTCAACTAACCACAAAATAATTTACAATGATTTGAAAACCCCACTGTACTATATAGACTTATCATTCTGACTCTGTGGTTACAAAATTACATTGGCAAAATAATTTTTTAATGTGCCTTGAGGTTCTTCATATTAATACATTCTTACGCGATAGACCAGTAGTGCCGGTCAAGTATATAATTACGTATTAAGCCCATTTAAACATGTCACAGGAGACCGGTTGCAGTGGTTCATGCCTGTAATCCCAGCACTTTGGGAGGCTGAGGCAGGAGGATCACCTGAGGTCATGTGTTTGAGACCAGACTGACCAACATGGTGAAATCTCGTCTCTACTGAAAATACAAAATTAGCCAGGTGTGGTGGCACATTCTGTAATCCCAGCTACTCCGGAGGCTGAGGCGGAAGAATCGCTTGAACCCAGGAGGCAGAGGTTGCAGTGAGACCAGATCCTGCCATTGCACTCCAGCCTGGGCAACAAGAGTGAAACTTTGTCTCAATAAATGAAATAAAATAAAAATGTCACAGGAGAGAAAACAATGTGTCATTTCTTTCTAGACTCATGGAGGAGAAGTATCATTGACACAGTTGAAAAATCATAACAACATTTTATTATTTTATTAATTAAAGATTTTCGTTATTTTACTTAAAATTAACTTTTCAGATTCTGCAATCTTAAAGGATGTAAAGCTGCAGACTTAAGATTTAAGCCTCTTAAGTTCAGCAAACTTTTGCTAACAAAGTTTGCTTGCCAAGCAATTTTTCACCAGTTCTCACAGCTATCTAAACACAGTTCCTTTTTTCAGTATCTGACCTAAATGTATTTTCTTTAAATGGAAAGAACCTAAAGAACAAGGCCTCAGGGATATGGTATTACTTGAGCCACTCACTTTGAGACAAAGAAAACATAAATTCATTCGTTCCAAGGTAGTGGAGGTTTGGGAGGCACTGTAAATTGTTTTGTGATAGATGAACCCTAGAAAAATACATTGGCTGTGGAAGAACAATCAAAGAAACAATATTTGAGTAAAGAAATACACCCTAGGGTACATAGAGACATTATGTTATGAAGCTAGTGGGTTATGACCCTTCTATCTATGGCACAGTTGAGACGATGGTTAAGATACTATATATAGTGCCACAGTACCTGAAAGATGCCACATCCTTACAACCAGGAAAATGTCAACAGAGTCGAAATAATCATATAGCCCAAATACAACAGCCAGGTAGGATGACAAATGATTCCTTTAAAATATAAATGGATATATTAAAATCTCACAATTCTGAAAAAATATACACTCTTACATAGTGTTTTAGAATTACCAATTTTTCACATATTTGCTGTTACAGGGAGAAGTAAACATTGTCATTCATCCCAGCGTTCTCTTTCCGGGTTTGTAGGTTGTAACATCCATCATAGCTGATGAAAATAGAAACCAAAGGAATATTTTGCTTTACATTTTTCCCATGTTGTTTCTTTTAAGTAATCACCTACTTTTGCTTTGAAATACAATTTTTTCTTTATAAATTTCTCAGCTAAATGAAGTTACATAATATTGTAATTGATGTTAATTAAGAGAAAGGAGGAAAAGACGATGGCAGATATGGAACATTTATATATAAATGGAATCACATATAATGTTATATAACTTATGCAATTATATATTGTATGTTATATATAATATGTACATATAACATATAAATATATTAACATATAAAGAGATACATGTGTACATTTCTAAATATATAAATTATCTGTTTACATAAATGTATAAACAAGTTATATACATACGTAATATATTAAAATATATATTTACTTTATTTTTCACATTCTTACTTGAAAAATAGAGGACTATTTTCCTCTTGTTCAATGTGAGGTGGTGGAGAAACAAAATGGGAATATGTGGGGTCCTTGTGACTACCTTTCTGTTGATGGATTGATGAGACTGAGATAAAACCAACAGATCCATTTCTGAATGATTTTTCAGGGGTTGTTTTATTCTGATTTGGGTTTAGCATAAGTAAAATTAAAGAGAAATGACTCTGTGTATTCCAATACAAGGAGGTTAAATAAACACCCTTGAGTAGGGAAGAAATTTTCCCTTTATCCTCTAACTGTACTTAACTATGTTATGGAACAGGAAGCAATGAAAACAGCTTCTCCTTAGAAGAGCAATGCTAATACAATGTAGTCATGACTCCATAGTAGCATAGTTTGACATAACTTCCCAGAAATAAATACTAATTCATGTACAAATTTTATATTAGCACAAAAGAATAATAGTTGTACAAGAGACTGAATTATCTGAGAAGGAAATACATATCCAGGTCATCAGCCCAAAACATACACACAAATATTCAGCATGCACAAAGTAGCAGGTGGAATAGAGTTAAACTTACTATATATAATTCTTATATACTCAATATATAGAAAATATTACTGTTGTGTTTAAAAGCAGAATCAACCAAAATAAGATTAACAGATTTGCCCCTATAAACATTTAAAAGTTTCTGTCAAAATAATAACCACAGAACCACAATGAACTTATAATTAAAATGAAAGGACCAACACTAATTTAGGTGAAAAATTTTTGCCACAAGTATGAAGATGATCAATATTTATAATAAATAAATTCATATCAATCAATAAAGACACTGATACAAGCTTAACTAGAAAAAACATAGATCAGAAAGAGAACATCTATATAAAAAATACAAAGGGCTTTCAAATATTTTTCAATGTTCAGCTTCAGGAAAATAATAAAATAAAATAATAATCATTAAAAATTTTTCTATACCTAGAAAATTAACAAAATTTGGAAACATTATAATATTATAATATTTAATTCCATTTAGTAATGTCAATAAAGATAGTTTTGGCCAGGCACGGTGGCTCATACCTGTAATCCCAGCACTTTGGGAGGCCAAGGCAGGAGGATCATGAGGTCAGGAGATCGAGACCATCCTGGCCAACATGGTGAAAACCTGTCTCTACTAACAATACAAAAATTAGCCAGGTGTGGTGGTGCATGCCTGTAGTCCCCACTACTAGGAGTCTGAGGCAGGAGAATCTCTTGAACCTGGGAGGCAGAGGCTGCAGTGAGCTGACATCACGCCACTGCACTCCAGCCTGGGCGAAAGAGTGAGACCCTGTCTCAAAAAAAAAAAAAAAAGGTAGTTTCAAGTAATATCAGTAGGAGTTATATTTGTTAAAACATCTTGTAAATTTTTTAGTATATTAATTAATTTATTTATTAATTCTATTTAGTGTGATAATTTTATTCCTGAGAAATCTATTGTTGAAACTAGCTAGAATTGCCAATCGGTGTCAGAAAAATATTCTGAGACTTAGATGTGGGCAAAAGAGACTACTGGGTATCCTTTTGTAGATACTTTATAATAGCCTCTTCTAAGATAATCTAATATAAGGAAATTAATTAGGATGTGAACCGTAGTATTTATTAGGATATAAGCATTTGCACTTTCGATTTTCATTCTAATGTCTAGTCTAGTTGATAGCTCTGTAAGTGTACAAGCTGTTTTGTTGAATAATGATAATACAAATTACTCTTATCCTTAGCAAAGCAAATGGATGCCATCCACTACAGATAAAAAGGGCTTATCACCTCAAAAACATAACCCTAACAATTACATTTTATATTCTCAGAGGATATTAAACAAAATTACATTATTAACATATTAAGTTGAACATTTCTAATTGTTTTTATTTATCTCTGGTTTTCAAATTTTCCTTTGCAGTACTTAACATCTTAATGGTTTCCTCATTGATCAACAAGTTGAATAAAATATTTGATGAGTGATTGATTATATTTGCATGATACTCATATTTTAACATTTTGAAAATTACATTTTAACAAAAGATTATGCTCTACAACATGCATTGTAGTTTTATTTACACTAATAATTTTATAATAACCAACAGTAATAAAATGGATAAAGGTAAGATCTTAGGATGGAGCAACATACTTGAGAATTTGTAATAACCTTGCAACATTCTTATGTTATAATGTATGGTAATTAAAAGCAAATATCACATTAAACTTGGAAAAAGAGGGAGTCTAGCAATAAATACATCAAAGCTAATAGAGCTTTCTCTTGTTGGTGATTTATTTTTCTTTTCTGCATTTTTTCTTTTTATATTATAATCAAGTTTTATATTTTATTTTATTCACTAACCTTACATCTAAAAATGTTGTTGATTAGAAATAAGGTAATAGAAATATAAGATATCATATACTTTTGCTAAACAAATGCTATATAATATCTAATTTGTCAATAGTGAAGTCTTTGTCTAAGGAGTTAGATGGTACATTTACGACAAAATATGCTACGCACACTTTTCTAAACACACTGGTCTACTTTATAGTGTAATTTAGAGAGGTACTTTATAAAGATCTCACTCATAATCCTAATAAACACATACACTGCTTCATTATGATTTTCTAAATCCAAACTAATATTTTAATGGATGACTTAACATGAGACCACTTCCCAAAGATATTTGCAATTTACTGGGAGTTTTCTCCAATATTATCTAAATCCACAGCTCCAACTTTTCGTTAAAGCACCTTTCTAATTATTCAAGTGTGAAACATCAAGGGAAGCAGTGGTGGGGATAATCTCTGCAGCTAAGTTAAGACCATGGATTCAACTACCTTCAGGAAAGCCTGAACCCAGACAGGAAAAAAAAAACTTCTGCATCAAATTGAGCTTGATATTCTCTGTATTAAAAAAAAAAAAAACAGTATTGGCTCTCCTCAAGACTTGTAAAGTCCTTTTGGTAGTTTCATACTACCTTATTCAGATCATTAATTTTCCGAGGATAAATGTGTTTTTATCAGGTTCATGTGCCTTCCCAGCACTCTCTCTGTATATAGTCTTTGAGTGTTTGAAATATATGACATCAAATTTGAAGAAACTATTTATATACTTCATAATTAATTCTGACTATAAACAGACTATGTGAAGAAGTCACAAAGAACATTAAGAAATTGAATCAAGGATTAGCCATCAACAATGAATTTGGGCCCAAAATAAAACAAGACTGAATTACCCACGTCAAAGATGAATTCGAAGAAAATATATGTAATGGGAGAGTCAGCAAAACATTTACATATTAACATAACTTAAAATGGGAATGAACTGATAAATAACATTGCATGGTAAAGAAGGAAAGAATCTTTTGTAGAAGTGATATATTGAAGAAAGAAAGTATTTTCCTCCTCTAATAGATACTTCTAACTCAACGCAATGGAAAAGGTGATGCAATAAGGATTGCAAAATCAATTAAAAGAAAACTGATTAGGATGAAAAAGCAAAATTATATAATTAAAAAATGTATTTGACTCCAAAGAGATTATTATTATATAATCAATAGAGGAACAAAAATCACCAGGCAGAAAACTCAATCAGATAATTAGAAAAGGTTCTTGGTAATGATAAATGCACAGCAAAGAAAAAAACAATTGGAGGAGATAGTAGTTTTCAAAGACAGGTAATCGAGACAGATCACAGAGGCTGAGAGTATTTTATAACTAGATAAAAGATTATATACCAACAATCTTAAAAGTGTTATAGATAAAAAGTTGTCTTAAATGAAGAAATAACAGAATCTACACATTTAAGACAATATATCACGCTAATGAAAAATTCAATTCAATCTAATCAACATTACTTAGATTTTGACTAAGTTTTTTTCTTTTTTTAAGCATGAAGGAAAAAACATCAAGTCCATAAAAGAGAATGTGTCAGATGGCTGCATAGCCTGTATATACACATTCAAAAAAGTTAAGTAAGGTCTGAATGAATTAGCATTGAACTCAATAATTTTCCAGTCAAATTTCCTTTCAGTCATAAATGCAACAGAGAAATTTTTAAACAGTCAAGGCCTTGGGGCACAGTTCCATTTCTTCCCTCATCCTTTTCTTTCTGTACTTTTTATCTTAAACAAAAGGTAACATTTTTATCTAGACTGAGAGTTGGCATATGTAGGGTATAAGGGAATACTTTAACCTTGTGTTAATTCTACAGCCTTTTAATCTATATTAGAAATCTTTTGCAGCTTGCTATAGATTAAGCAGTTTGGCACAGCAAATTTAGTTTTAATTATACTTTTTGTCCTGGTGCATCCTTCCTCTAAGGTAAAGAAGACCGAGTGATTCATCTGATTTTATTATGATGGGGTGGGGAAAATAATTAGAAAAAGCAGGAACAATTGTTAATCTCAAATAACTAACACAGAACAATCTATTAATAATAAATATTTGCATCCTTATTATATCAATCAAGGTCCCATCAGGAGGCAAAATTATACCAGTAATTTGAACAGGGAAAATTCAATGTCAATGTGTTAAATAGTAAAGGGGAATTAGCTACTAATAAAAATAAACATACATTTATAAGAAACAGGAATAGCAGATATGAAGGTACAGTCAGAACTACTGGGGCTGAAGTAGATTACCTAAGGAAGAAAAAGACTTGGGAGAGTCACCAACCTCCTACCTCTAGTATCTGAAGCTAAAGTTAAAATGTGTTAAATCAATTTTAACCTCTTACCTCCAATACCCTAAAACAGAGCTTATTGCTTTAGCACACTTCATAACAAAGTTAACTGAAGAGAAATTTGCTGTAGTGGAGAGCAGAAAGCGTCCCACTGGGGTGCTGGCTAGAGTTGTTGGGAATCTACTCAATAAAGTATTGCAAAAATTCTCTGGAAGCCAATGGTGTGCCATAGCCCATATCGAGTATTGCAAAGGAGAAAAAAAAAGGGTGAATATTAATGAAGAGCCAGTAATTTGATAACCGGTAAAACCATAGAAATAATTACTATATCCAAACTTTCTCTCCTAAAAAAATTAGAACTTGGACATCTATACTGCATTGAGTTCACCATAACCAAAACTGCAGCACTAAAAATAGAACAAGACTATATGAATATTTTTCTCAAAGGTTACTTTGAGTTGATAAATCAAGACTCAGGGTGAAAGATTTTTCTTTTTAAATATGAGGATAACTAATTGTCCCCACTCCATCATCACATGAATAAGTTCCTTCTAGATTCTAGTTTCTTCATTCTTCTGCAAGCCCTCCTCCTTCTACTCCCTTTCCCCTTTTTTTAAATTTTAACATTTCTATGTGTCTCCTGATTTTTGTATTACCACTGATATGGTTTGTTTCTGTGTCCCTAACCAAATCACATCTGAATTGTAATCCCCATAATCCCCATGTGTTGAGGTAGGAACCTGATGGGAGGTGATTGGACCACTGGGGCTGTTTTCCCCATGCTGTTCTCATGGTAGCGAGTTCTCCTGAGGTATGGTGCTTTTATAAGTGTTGAACAGTTCCTCCTTCACATACTCTCTTGCCTACTGCTATGTAAGATGTGCCTTGCTTCCCATTTGCCTTCTGGCATGTTTGTAAGTTTCCTGAGGCCTCTCCAGCCATGCAGAACATTGAGTCAATTAAACCTCTTTTCTTTATAAGTCACCCAGTCTCAGGTATTTCTTTATAGCATTGTGAAAATGGACTAAAACACCCACCTAACATGTGACTCTGACTTTACTATTTTTTAGCCCCTAGTGAGTTAGGATTACTAATTATCAGCTTTATTTTGGTGACTGTTCCTAGTCTCTCCTCTGGAGAGTATAGAAGTAAATGTTCCAATATGTTTTCCTATAGGTCAAGGTTATTCCTTGGAATTATTTTTACTTGTCCTTCTCCATTCTCTTTCCACACCTGGTAAATGGGAGAATTTCTGAATATTTCTGAGATGATGCCAGAATGCTTGTGCAAGATATCTAAAGTGTTTACAGAATATCTTCCCTTTCTCTGCAACTACCAAGGCCCTGTGTGATGCTAACAGTGAGAACAGAAAGGATTTGAAGTTTAGTGGATATATATATATATACATACATATATGTGTGTGTGTGTGTATATATATGTGTATATATATATGTATATGTATATATATGTATATGTGTACATATATATATATATACACACACACACACATAATGGTTGGAAGTCAACTATTTCTTCATGTTCTGTGATCAACATAGAAGTCACACCTCAAGAATGGGGTTAATTAGCAAGGATTCTGTCTTATACATCATCCTCCCCAGAACCTAAAACAGTGCCTGAAATATTTAGTGCTTAACTGTTATACACTGAAGGCCAGGTGCTATGGCTCACGCCTATAATCCCAATACTTTGGGAGGCTGAGGTGGGCAGATCACTTGAGGTCAGGAGTTGGAGACCAGCCTGGCCAACACGATGAAAACCCATTTCTACTAAAAACACAAAAAAAATTAGGTGGGCATGGTGGCAGGGGGCTGTAATCCCAGCTATTTGGGAGGCTGAGACAGGAGAATTGCTTGAACCTGGGAGGCAGAGGTTGCAGTGAGCCAAAATCGCCCCACTACACCCCAGCCTGGAAGAAAGAGCGAGACTCCACCTCAAAAAAAAAAAAAAAAGTTATACATTGAATAAGTGAATAATAATTTTATTTTTTCATTTCTTCCATATTTTGTCATCTGTTTTTCCAGTTATTTTCTAATAAGCTTAAATAGTAATGCTTGTGGAACTCCAGTGGTCTCTGCCTCTTCTTGAAATGCTACAGCTAAAATAGAGAATTATCTTGCTCACCATAGGTCATTAAGCTCTCTATATTATGCTCTCCAGTTTACTCTAGCCTTTATTTTTATTGATGTATCTGTATTTTTCATTTTTTTTTTAAATTACAGAATTACCAAGTAGCCAAGGTAAGCCTAAGAATGTAGCCTTTACACTGTCACATTTAAAGGCCACTGGCAGCTCATGATCCGTTTTAATTTTTGCTTTGTTTCTACCTTTTTCTATTTGATTATGTGTCCAGGGCTCTCTCTTTTTTGTTTGTTTGACTTCATTTTGTTTTTGTGTTTAATAGAGATATTTATCAATCAGTATATGTATAACTTTGTTTATGCAAGCCTCTGCTTTATTTTTCTTGATACAGTTTATCCACACAACCTGCCTTCTCTAGAGTGAGCATAAATTTGAATTTGTGCAGAGCAACTTATTATTTTAGGACCTTGGGAAAAATAGTTAATTTCCAGTGAAATTAATCTGAAGATAAGTCTCTTATTGAAAGAGTTACTTCTATAATGAATATTCATGGCATATATTAATAGTTATTACTATTTTTAAATGCTGCACATTCCTTTATTATTTAAGGACATGTATTTAAATTCAGTTCATACACTTCTCTTATTAAAAAATTAAGTTTATACATTGTTTTTCCAAGTACTATTGCATTGAGTTTTTCTTGTTTTGTTTGTTTGTTTGTTTGTTTTGGTGTGTTTTTGTTTTCTTTTGCTATCAAGAAAGGGGAAAAGCAAACAAAATTTTACCTACATTGATCAAGGGTTAAACAAATGAATAAAAACAGTTGAATGTCACCAAGGAGATTTGAAGAGAACCTCATAGTTATAAATAATTAAGAAATCCCTCTGATTAAACTCCACATGATGTGATCAGTGGCAATGAGAAATTGTTAATAAAGGTCTTGATTAATTCAGAGACAAATCTTAAAACAAGTGAGAGTAAATAATCAAGTTACTTTGCTATTCTGACAAATTGGTGATATGTTTGATCAAGAAATATGAGATTCAATAAAAGATGAGAACTTTTAAGTATGCTACTTCTAGTCAATGCTCTCCAAATTAGCGGCCAGAAAATTCCTCCAAGTGCAGCTACAAAAAAGTCAATCTCCACCTGGTTTCTAAATTATACATCCTTCCTGAATGAAAAGTCATCAGCCTAATCTCTTACCAAGCACACAATTGTTTTTAACAGGACGAGCATAATATGTTTGAGAGAACATGCTGTGGGTTTCTTGTCAATAGTCATCTAAAACTCTGGTTTCTTAATATTTGGCCAACATCATATTGGCTTGGTTCGCTGGATTTTTACATTAGAATTTTTTAAAAATTTCCCCAAAATCTATTGATTTAAAGATAGAAATTTTATTTTTAATTAACTTGCTGGTTTTGGCCTGTTCTAAAAGATAGGATAATGGATTTTAGCTTCTCAAAGATGGAAATATATCTGTAGAATTTTCTATTTAATTATTAGCAAAATTAATCCAACTTCATATTGAAATTTGATATTAATTTGATATTGTTTGGTGCATATTTTATCAACTAATTCTATTTAAATATTACATTTATATAATCTTCATACATCATGACCAGGTGGGGTTATTCTAAAAATGCAAAGGTACACAAGACAAGGATGTCCTGTTGTCACCACTCCTATTTAACACAGTATTGGAAGCTCTGGCCAGGGCAATCAGGCAAGAGAAAGAAGTAAAGGATATTCAAATAGGGAAAGAGGAAGTCAAACTGTCTCTATTTGCAGATGATAAGATTGTATATTTAGAAAACCCCATCGTCTCAGCCCCAAATCTCCTTAAGCTGATAAGCAAATTCAGCAAGTCTCAAAATCAAGGTACAAAAATCACAAGCATTCCTATACACCAATAACACACAAACAGAGGGCCAAATCATAAGAAAACTCCCATTCACAATTGCTACAAAGAGAATAAAATACCTAGGAATACAACTTACAAGGGATGTGAAAGACCTCTTCAAGGAGAACTACAAACCACTGCTCAAGGAAATCAGAGAGGACACAAACAAATGGAAAAACATTCCATACTCATGGATAGGAAGAATCAATATCATGAAAATGCCCATACTGCCCTAAGTAATTTATACATTCAATTCTATACCCATCAAGTTACCATTGACTTTCTTCACAGAATTGGAAAAAACTACAGTAAATTTCATGTGAAACCAAAAAAGAGCCTGCATAGCCGAGACAATCCTCAGCAAAAAGAACAAAGCTGGAGGCATCATGCTACCTGACTTCAAACTCTACTACTAGGCTACAGTAAGCAAAAGAGCATGGTACTGCTACCAAAACAGATACATAGACCAATGGAACAGAACAGTGGCCTCAGAAATAGTGCCACAGATTACAACCATCAGATCCTTCACAAACCTGACAAAAACAAGCAATGGGGAAAGGAGTCCCTATTTAATAAATGCTGTTGGTAAAACTGCCTAGCCATATGCAGAAAACAGAAACTGGACCCCTTCCTCACACCTCATACAAAAATTAACTCAAGATGGATTGAAGATTAAATGTAAGACCTAAAACAATAAAAAACCCTAGAAAAAAATGTAGGCAATACCATTCAGGATATAGGAGTGGGCAAAGACTTCATGACTAAAACACCAAAAGCAATGGCAATAAAAGCCATAATTGAAAAATGGCATCTAATTAAACTAAAGAGTTTCTGCACAGCAAAACAAACTATCATCAGAATGAACAGGCCACCTACAGAACGGGAGAAAATTTTTGCAATCTATCCATCTAACGAAAGTCTAATATCCAGAATCTTCTAAGAACTTAAACAAATTTACAAGGAAAAAAAAAACCCATCAAAAAGTGGGCAAAGGATATGAACAGACATTTCTCAAAAGAAGACACTTACGCAGTCAACAAACATATGACAAAAAGCTCATCATCACTGGTCATTAGAGAAATGCAAATCAAAACCATAATGAGATACCATCTCACACCAGTTAGAATGGTGATCATTAAAAAGTCAAGAAACAACAGAGGCTGAAGAGGATGTAGAGAAATAGGAATGCTTTTACACTGTTGGTGGGAATGTAAATTAGTTCAACCATTGTGGAAGACAGTGTGCTGATTCCTCAAGGATCTAGAACTAGAAATACCATTTGACCCAGCAATCCCATTACTGGGTATATACCCAGAGGATTATAAAACATTCTACTATAAAGACACATGCACAAGTATGTTTATTGCAGCACTGTTCACAATAGCAAAGACTTGGAACCAACCCAAATGCCCATCAGTGATAGACTGGATAAAGTAAATGTGGCACATATAAACCATGGAATACTATGCAGCCATAAAAAAGGATGAGTTCATGTCCTTTCCAGGGACATGGATGAAGTTGGAAACCATCATTCTCAGCAAACTAACACAAGAATAGAAAACCAAACACCACATGTTCTTACTCATAAGTGGGAGTTGAACAATGAGAACACATGGACACAGGAAGGGAAACACCACACACTGCGGCCCTTTCGGGGTGGGTGGCTAGGGGAGCGATAGCATTAGGAGAAATATCTAACGTAGGTGATGGGTTGATGGGTGTTGCAGACCACCATGGCACGTGTATACCTATGTAACAAACCTGCATGTTCTGCACATGTATCCCAGAACCTTGAAGCATAATAATAAAAAAGAAAAAAATGCAAAGTTAGTTCAATATTTTGAAATCAATGAATATAATTAAAATATTAATAGAGCTCAGTAGGAAAAAGTCATATTATCTTCATTAATCTAGATAAGGCATTTGTCAACATCCAATACTTTTTTCTATTACAAAAGCCTCAATAAGAATAGACAAATATTTTCATATGTGTAATACACACTATAAATATTTATACATTACATATAAATTAATATGTATATTTGGTATGAAAAGCAGTATCTTAGTTGGGAAATGACGTAATTAGGAGTAAGACAGGGATGCTCATTATCTTCCTATTTGGTGTTATGTGGAGGTATTACAGAATGCCATTTGACACAACAAAACAAATTAGAGGCATAATAATTGGAAAGGTTAGATGGTATAATTGTATGTGGAAAATACAAAGAATTCAAGGGAAAACCACCACAAAAAAATCAAAGAGAATTAATAATATAAGAAATTATAAAATCAACATAACAACAAAAATTTTTTAAAGGAATGATGAAAATTTGTCTACAGATAACAGAAAAGAGAATTTGAAAACAAAACAGAATAAAAACTGTAAATGCAAACTTAATAAAAAATGTGGAAAACATATATGAGACCTATAATAAAGTGCTCTTGAAAGGCAGAAGACTTGAACAAATGCAAAGACATACTATGTTCCTGGATAGGTAGATATAATGTCATAAAAATATCACTTATCTTTAAGTCATAACCAGAATTTTCTTCCGAGCTAGAGCAATGGATTACAAAGTTCATTTGGAAGAAATTTGCGTGGATAAAAAGGGAAATTATGATAAAAGAGAATCAATGAAGTGGGAAAAGATTGATACTAAAACATAAAATCTCTGTAATTAAAACATGACATTTGCACATATTTGTGATAAAAAGGAATAAATCTGAGATCATTTAACCTAGGTAGTCTTACCTGCAATATAAAATGATACAGTTGCAAAAACATGAATTTAAAAACACTTGGAACAGACTTAGATAGACATTTTTGTATTCAGAGTGTGGTGCAGCTGACCATATTGAATGAGACCTCATTTACTCTCTTTAATTACAGTTTAACTTTAAGTTAAAAGTCATTTTTAAATGGTTGGTCTTATATATTCATATGCTTTTATAATACATTCTAAAAATTCAAATTCATTCTTGATTGAAGTCACTACATAAAGTTCAAGTGTTATCTCATGGACACTAATTTTCTCCTCCATAACTAGTTGTGTGAGTCTACATTTCAATTCTAAAGCCTTTTCCTTTTCACTGTAATGTATCTTGAAAGACTTAAATCACACATTCAAAAATAATTGCCATTTTAAATTGAACTCAGAGCAGAACAAACCAATTACTGTAGTTGCATGAGTGTAAAGCATTTTACTCTTCTATCAGCTGTAGAAGTGTGCATACTTCCTCTATCACAATTATTGTTACATTACTATTGCATTTGTATTCACCTCCTGAAGCAGACTAAAAAGCTTCCGTGGGGATGAATATTCTTGAAGTTCATATTGGCTTTTAATAGTCTTATTCGACAAAATTTAAAATAAGAGAAACCTATAGTTAAACTAATTTCTATTCCTCCTCAAATACTTGGCTAAATTCTGATAGTAGAAATGGTAAAAATGAAAACATATACACATACAATACACATTTTATGATCCTATTTAACACAGATGTTTAACTAGAGAGATCAAAATCTATAAATGCATATTAAAGAAGAGCATCTTAAAACCTAATGCTTTATTTATGACATATAATAGTTATAAATATCAGATAATCTGACTAATAATGTTCTATGATTATTTTTATCTTTTAAATCAACTTTGTTGAGCTATAATTTACCTATAATAAAATGTACCCTATTTTAAATGTATATTGTGATTCATTTTGACAAATAAATGTACTTTGGTAGCTACCACTGTAATCAAAATATTGAATATTTCCTTCACTCCGAGAAATGTCCTTTGCCTCTTCACAGTTAATCTCACTTTCACTCTGACCCTTGGTAACCACTGCTTTGTTTCCTATCACTATAGGTTAACTTTGAGGATTTTAAAATTTCATATTAATGAAATCGTACAGTAGGTACCATTTCTCTGACTGGCTTCTTTTGTGCAACATAATGTTTTTTAATTTGTTCATAGTGCTGTATTTATCAGTAAGTCATTCCTTTTGACTTTAATTTTAATTAAATGACTCTACCTGTATTTATTTATTTATTTGTTGATGAGCATTTGAATTGTTTTCCATTTGGGGCTATTAAAAAATAACTGTTAGAAACATTCATTTACCAGTCTTTTTTGAGCACATATTTTAATTTCTTTTGGGAAAATGCCTATCAGTGAAATTGCTCGTATATAATGGTAAGTGTATGTTTAACTGATATGGTTTGGATCTGTGTCCCTCCCCAAATCTCATGTCGAACTGTAATCCACAATGTTGGAGGTGAGGTTTGGTGGGAGGTGATTAGATCACGGAAGCAGTTTCTCATGAATTGTTTAGCACTATCTTCTTGGTGCTATTCTTGTGATAGTGAGTGAGTTCTCAGGAGATCTGGTTGCTTAAAAGTGTGTAGCACCTCCCCTTTCTCTCTCTCTTGCTGCTCCAGCCATGTGACATGCCTGCTCCCCCTTCCCCTTCTGCCATGATTGGAAGTTTCCTGACACCTCCCCAGAAGTCAAGCAGATGACAGCATCGTTCCTGTGCAGCCTGTGGAACCACCAGCTAATTAAACCTCTTTTCCTTGTAAATTATGCGGTCTCACATATTTACTTACAGCAACATGAGAAAGGCCTAACACATTATGATTATAATAATCTGCCAAAGTGGTTGTACAATTTTATCATCCAAGCAATAATAAATGAAATTCCAATTGCCTCGCAATCTCGCCAACACATGATAGTGTCAGTCCTAGTGGATGTGTAGTAATATTTCAATTTGGTTTTAATATGTATTTCTCAGATGTCTAATGTTTATCATTTTAAAATGTGTTTATTGCCCACTTACGTCTTTTATGAAATATTCGTTCAAATATTTTATCTGCTTTTATGCATTGTTTCCCCTTATTATTACTAAATTATAAGATTTCTTTACATATTGTAGGTACAAGTGTCACATTGGCACCACTAGCTATAAGAGAGTCTACCAAAGCAATTACCTAGCTTTTTATAGCCTTTATAGTGGAAGACAGGCAAGTATTAAAGAGCTGGTTTGCATTTGCCTTAGCCAGTCAGGATTGCTTTCTATGGTTAGAAATTCATATTTATAACAGTTAGCTTAAGTAATTATTATAAATTGACATGCAACAATATGTGTGGTTATAAAGACACGTGTGCACATACACACACACATACATAGCTATGTATACAGTATGTAGTGTCAGGTAAGGAATCAAAGAGCACCCTATTTGCTTTCTGATTAAAAACAAGATGAATAAAACAGCTAAATAAGAGAACACCAAATATTACCAAGTTTTACCATTTTAATATGATAGCTAATTAAGAAAATATTACATTATTACATTTTATTTGTAATATACTGAGATTGATTGGTGGCTTAAAATATCAATTTACCATCTACTTAAGGAGAAATGTGATGGCATATGGATTCAAGTGCTATGCCATATAAAAACACAAACAATAAGATTTATAGGCATTCATTGTAAGCGATAGCAAATAAAGCATTATAAAGCAAGTGTAGATTCAACAAAAATTAGTACAGACAATAAAAAAAAAGCAGGGTTTTCTATGTAAAATGAGTCTTGGCTGGGTGCGGTGGCTCACGCCTGTAATCCTAACACTTTGGGAGGTGGAGGCAGGTGAATCACGAGGTCAGGAGTTCAAGACCAACCTGACCCACAGCGTGAAACCTCGTCTCTACTAAAAATACAAAGAAGTTAGCTAGGGTGGTGGTGGTTGGCACCTGTAATACCAGCTACTCGGGAGGCTGAGGCAGAGAATTGCTTGAACCCAGAAGGCGGAGGTTGCAGTGAGCCGAGATTGTGCCACAGCACTCCAGCCTGGGTGACAGAGTGAGAATCCGTCTCAAAAAAAGTCATAATAAAATAAAAAAATAAATGAGTCTTAAAAGATAGAAAGGAAGGCATTGAATACTAGAACCAAAAAAAAAAGATGCACATTCTTTCCAATTTGTCATTAGGTGTACCAAAGTGATTCATATAGTTAGAATCTATATAGTTAGTATATGTGTATGTATGTATCCAGCTATATGCAAAAAGAAAACAAAAAAACAAACAACAACAACAATAAACATTTAGGGAAAAATCAGAGAACACGGTATTTGGAACCAGGCTGCATTAGTCAGGTTCTCCAGAGAAGTAGAACCAATAGGCTATTGAGTTAGTTATTATAAGAAACTTGCTCATGTGATCACAGAGCCTGAGAATTCCAAAGATGTACAGTTTGCAAGTTAGGGATCCAGGAGAGCTGATGGTATAGTTCAGTCTGAAAGCTGGCAGGAATAAGACCCAAGAAAGGCTGATGTCTTAGTTTGAGCCTGAAGGCAGGAGAAGACAGATGTCCCAGCTCAAAGCAGTCACACAGGACCTTTACTCAGCCTTTTTGTTCTATTTAGGTCTTCAATTTATTGGATGAGGCCCACCCCCATTAGAGAGGTTAATCTGTTTTACTCAGTCTACAGATTCAAATATTAATCTTATCAAGAAATACTCTCAAAGATACACCAGAATAACATTTGAACAAATGGGCATTTTGGGGCCTAGTCAAGTTGCTACAAAAAATTAATCATTATGGCTACATTTCTTTTTAAATATAGGGTAAGTCTCTACATTCACTACCACTTATCTCAACTTCGGTATACAGAAAGTGCAATAAATGTGAATGATGTAACATTTTCTTTGTTACATACAAGTAAAAAAAGGTAGAATTTGATAATACTTGTTTCTTTGGCTTTCTTGCTTAAAGGCACATAATGGGACTGCTTTTCCTTTTACTCTCTGTTTAGTCTTCTCTCATGTTACATATTACTATTTGCATGTTTTATTATTATATTTTGGGCCATTTTCTTGGATTTAAAGTTTACTGAGGTTAGAAAACATGCTGCAATATGTATTTCTATTTTGTTACAATGCCTAAAAGAATTCACATACTTTGGGTTCAGTCACTCTTGCAGGTTAATTTTTGCGGTAAGTAAATATTTGGTGGTAGAAATTAATTTTGCTTCTGTATTGTATGGAGGTTGATGACACATGAGGATTTTGCTGTGTAGTCAGTATTTCTAGACACTGAACTTTCCATTGGGTATTCAGGAGTCCAGTATTGCATTACTACCATCTTTTCTCCCTTTGAACAGTTTTCTGGAATCTTCACTTGTGATGTATTCCTAATCCTATATTCTCTTTCTGGTTTCTGTTGAAGGAAAAACAAATATATTCAAGCTTCTAAACATCTCCCCGGCTTCTAGTCCACTTGGCCGCTTACCATGCCAGACTTGGTCTTTCTGTATGATCCTGTATTGTGGCTGTAATAACTCACCTGTTTTAACCCAATTGATACCATATTTCAACTTGGTTGTGCTATCCTGTGTGTGAAATGAAACCATATTTCAATTCAGGTTAACAAAAAATTGTAATAACGTACAAGAGTAAAGATGAGAGGAATAGATATATCTCAATCTAGATCCATAAAGTAGAAGAGATTCAAAAAGACAATGCAGTCCTTAGAGCAAAGAGAACAGAACTGTAAAAGAAACAGAAGTGAAATGGGTCATAGCACTATTACTCCACTGAGAAGGAACTATTATTCATTTTCTTTTGATCATCTTTTTTGAGATGCCATTAATTTTTTTTGCCAAATTACACTCCATTCTAAATAGTAAGTTCAACCTCAAAAAGGAATACCTTGAATGTGACATTTGCCTTTTTCCATTTTGGTCCATGTCAGTACCGCATCTAATCTGTCCTGGAGTACAGATTATTCTACCTTTGTTAATCTCTCAAATGTGTGTCATTATCTTTCTTATTGTTCTTATTCACTATTTGTCATCTCTCAGTGTCTACTGCCTATATTCATTTATTATTACCTAAAATAACATCCATTGTATCTAAAGATATTTCCTTTTGCATTGATATCATTAAAATACCATCAAACAACTTAAAACCTTTATATATTGGCTAGTGAAAATACAATGCTAAATAAATGGCAGTCCCTTTTCCCTAACTCCCTTTTGACTAATGGACTTGGGTTTATATTTTCATATCAAATATGACAATTAGAGTAATTTTAAACATTTGGCATATAGCAAGTTGAATAATGATAATTTATTACACTCTAAGGTACCTAGATCTACACGGTAATTAATAGCAAAGTCCATTAAGTGCACACTATTCATCCTTTCGAATGTCCACTCCTGTTAACATTTGTCTTATTATAGTTATTTGTGTGTTTGTTTCTTTTTAGTGATGAAAAATAAAGACAAAATAGACATATGTTCAAAATTATAGGAATACAAAGACTTACTTGGTCTGAAACTTTTTTCCACACACAAAAATTTAGAATCAGATTGGCAAGATGACTCAAACACTAGAAAAATGAAATGGCATTCAACGTGTTATTAAATGTAAGGAAATTATGTCATTTATTAAAGAAGTAGTTAATGAAATTTTTACTAGGTACTTCAAACATAAATGGCAACAAGGCACAGTCTCTAAATTTAGAGTTCGTGTAACAAAAATATTGAATCATAGTATAAAGCAATATCATACAAATACCATTACATTGAAAACACAAAGTAAGTCTGTGACATGAGAGAAGAAAAATGATCCTTCTTCATGAAGCAGATGATGACATAAGACCTAGCTCTTGATAGATGTCAGGAGTTTGTCAAATCATAAAAGGATAAAAAAAAATTCTGTGTAAGAAATGAATAAACACAAGGCATAGATATTTGAAAGATTTTACCATGCCACATTTGGTAAAGTAGCTGGAAAATAAAAACAATTTGGTATGCTCTTTCCACTCCTTGCTGAGTAGTTTAAACTTTATTCTCCTTCAGCGTTTTGTGTGGGAATAATATGAGCAACTCTTCCTTGATGCTAGGTGACTCTAGCATCAGTATGAGAATTCAGTGAGAGTATAGCAATTTTCTACCATTCTAAGCAAGAGAAAGGACTAGGAATAAGGTATATTAAAAAGAATGACAAAAAATAGGGTCTATAAAATGTTTGAGAGAGACATAAATAATTCTCTGACAGCCTGGATAAAAGAAAAAAAAAATGATAGGTAGAAATAAGGCATGAGTTTGAGGGTTCTATCTTGAGCCTGAGATGATCTTATTAATAGAGGTAGGCAATACAAAAGTAGAAGTAAATAAGTCAATCAGTTGGGGGCAAAGGAAAAAAAATAAGATTACATTCAGATGCAAACTTCAGGGCCACCTGTTTTTCCAGACCTTTTCCAAGATCCTAGGTGGTGGTCTTCGTAGAAATGAATTCACAGGATTATGTATTGTTTATATTTCATATATTTTTTAAAATTTGCTTAAGTATTTTAATTTGAACTCATTATGGTTGCTATCTTTTTTCCACCCAAACTACCCTTCTGTCACACTTATTTTTGTAATTTATTATACTCTAAGTTCTGGGATACATGTGAAGAATGTTCAGGTTTGTTACATAGGTATACATGTACCATGGTGGTTTGCTGCACCCATCAACCAGTCATGTAGGATTTAAGCCCTGCATGCATTAGGTATTTGTCCTAATTCTCTCCCTCCCCTTGTCCCCACAACAGGCCCAAGTCTGTGATGTTCCCCTCCATGTGTCTGTATGTTCTCATTGTTCTACTCCCACTTATGAATGAGAACATGTGGTGTTTGGTTTTCTGTTCCTGTGTTAGTTTGCTGAGAATGATGGTTTCCAGCTTCATTCATTTCCCTACAAAGGACATGAACTCATTCTTTTTTATGGCTGCATAGCATTCCATGGTGTATATGTGCCACATTTTCTTTATCCAGTCTGTCATTCATGGGCTTTGGGCTGGTTCCATGTCTTTGCTATTGTGAATAGTCCTGCAATAAACATACGTGTGCAAGTGTCTTCATAATAGAATGATTTACAATCCTTTGGTTATATACCCAGTAATGAGATTGCTGAGTCAAATGGTCTTTCTTGTTCTAGATCCTTGAGGAATTGCCACATTGTCTTTCATAACGGTTGAACTAATTTACACTCCCACAAACAGTGTAAAAGCATTCCTATTTCTCCACATCCTCTCCAGAAATAACACCACACATCTACAACCATCTGATCTTCGACAAACCTGACAAAAGCATTGGGGAAAGGATTCCCTATTTAGTAAATGGTGTTGGGAAAACTGGCTAGCCATATGCAGAAAACTGAAACTGCACCGCTTCCTTCCACCTTATACAAAAATTAACTCAAGATGGATTATAAACTTAAATTTAAAACCTAAAACCATAAAAACCCTGGAAGAAAACCTAGGCAATACCATTCAGGGCATAGGCATGCACAAAGACTTCATGACTAAAACACCAAAAGCAATTGCAATAAAAGCCAAAATTGACAAATGGGATCTAATTAAACTAAAGAGCTTCTGTACAGCAAAAGAAACTATCATCAGAGTGAACAGACAACCTACAGAATGGGAGAAAATGTTCACAATCTATACAGCTAACAAAGGTAATTTCCAGAATCTACAAGGAACTTAAACAAATTTACAAGAAAAAAACAAACAAACCTATTAAAAAGTGGGCAAAGGATATGAACAGACACTTATGAAAAGAAAACATTTATATGGCCAGCAAACATATGAAAAAAAGCTCATCATCACTAGTCATTAGAGACATGAAAATCAAAACCACAATGAGATATCATCTCACACCAGTTAGAAAGGTGATCATTAAAAAGTCTGTCACACTTCTTATTATGCTGCTGGCATACATTGTATAGGCTAGAGTATTAGTGGGATTTGACTAAGGAGGATTTGAGTTGGAGATACAGTTAATTTTTAGAGAGTGATATGGCTACAGACATTTCTATATTCAGATTTTTAAAAAATAGTCAGCTATCCTCTTGTACAAATAACTTTCAGAAATATTTATTTTGTCCAGTGTGTGTCAACATACCTACAATGTGACACAAAATCACGTAGTCTTGTATTAACATAGTTTTTGTTGTTTGGCAACAGCAGTATGTATTTGTGGAAGAGAAATAGGATTTGAGACATACAGAGTCAGAAGCTAATCTTTGGACTATTCTTCTATTTATCACATAAATAACATTGTCAGTGTGAGGAATTAGTTCTTACTGATGCCTAATGAAAATTGATCCCTTTTTCTGTCATTCAGTAATGTAGCATAAAAATCATATACATGCTAGATTTCCATATTTTTTCTTTCTTTCTAAATAAATAATTTAGAAGGACTCCTAAGTTTGTAAAGAACACAACTGTAGTAGCTGTATGATAGAAGGTTTATCTGTAACAGTTCATGTCTGAAAATACTTGATAGAAATTTTCCAAAATGTAAGAAAATTTCTAAGAATTATATGCACCCCAATTGCCCGTGAGAGGAGTTTCATTTCCCATAGGAAGGGTTCAGAACTATTTCCTCTGCCAAGCTCTGTTACTGGTTAGGAGTGGCCTAGGAGAAGTGTGTCCTTGGCATGAATACAGAGGTAAATTAGCAGGATGATAGCTGGAGCTATTAGTCAAGTATGTGCCCCAAAGCAGTAAATCTGAGTGGTACATTTCTATGGTCACTATATTTCACCCCTTATGTTTCAAAATCTCCTTTTTCATGTAGGTTTGAAAAATAGCCCCTCCATTGCTACCATGTGACCCTCTTTCAAGTGTAAACTTAAAAGAGGGAGGTTAGTGTGATGAACTATGGATCCTGATACTATAGTTGGCCTTGGGGTGGCCTAGGGGTGCCGCTGGTATTCATCTTCTTGGTCTTCCACTATGCATCTGAAATTAAACTCACCCCCATCTATCACCCGGTGATGTGATTCAAACCAACATTCCAGAGCAGTCTGAGACAAATCTTACCCTTCTCAGGCTGGTGCTGTGCCCATTCGTTTACAGATATAACAGGACAATTGAGTGCTAGGAGACACAATAATTGATCTCCTGTGCTCCACATATATTTTTTTCTCTTTAACTCTTGAGTAAAATCTGCTGGTATTTGGATATGAGGAATCCCTATCTTGTTGGCTGCCATAGCTTATAGTTTAATGTGGCCTTTGTGTGCCCTGGAGAGAGCCTTTCTCCTTTGGGAGCCTGGGGGATATCTAAACCTAAAGAGCTAGAAGTTGTGGGGACTGAAATTTTCCCACAAATTTCCACCATGAGTTATTGGAGGTGATAGAAAAACAGGTTACTTCTATTTTAGCCTTTCATTCCTGGACCAATATATTATTTTTATTGGGAACATGACATCACTTAAAGATCTCTGATTTAATGAATACTCAGTATATGGAAGGATGACACTTCTTTCTTTCAGAAGATTGCCTCCAAACTACGAATTTAGCTATGTCTTGAGCAGATCATTCCAGGCTTCCACGTGGATGGCTGCTTCTGGGTGACACACTGATAGGTCCCATGGTCATGGGCCTCTCTCCTCTGCTGTAAAGTGAGAGGCCTATTTAGATGCTATGCTTACTCCTGTGGATCTGGCATTCCATAAGTTCCATGCTGGCTAAGGCTGTAAATGCAGGAATAAATACCTATACTCAGAGGAGATATTTATTCCTATAAAGACAATTTTTTTCCCTCTAGGATAGAAGGGACTCAATATAAACAACTTACTACAAAGTTACAAGTCGATCTCTTTCAAGGATAGTTTTGTTTGAAGATTGAATACTGATCTCTGTTGCTAATAATTTGGATATTTATTGGCCATAGTAACTAAGCTGGCATTGGTAATTTGGAGTCTATGCTCTCAGGCCTATATATGACCTGCCTATGTGGCCACTCTTTTCATGTGTTCATCATGTCATTTCCGTAGTACCTTCTTCTTTGTGGTAGAGGATGCAGCATGTGTTGATCTGCTTTTTACATTAAGGAAGATATCTTGGCATGCTCCTACATACACGAACCTAAAACTTCACTGAATGCTCCTGAAACTTTGTAGGTTTAACATGTGTCTTTTGGATATTATGTGTCTTACCAAGGTCTCCAGGCGTCATCTGTTGGATCAACATGATGTTGCTAAGGTAATGGCTGTAATATAAAGCATAATGTTACATGAGATATCCAGGTGGTAAAAATCTCTTCAGACTCTATTGTGTTGTAAGATAAAATGGTTCATATTCCTCAGGTAAAATGGCAAATAGCTATTATTTTCTACTCTATATGAATTAAAACTATTTCTGATTCTCTTTTGTAAGTGAAATAGGAAATAATGTGTTCACCAATCCCATGGCTCTATGGCATGTACCTATGTTTGCAGTACAGCCTAGTAATCTTCTCTAGCAATAAGACCTCATTACAGTGATTCTCCAGGATCCATTCTGTTTCTGCAGGGATTTTATTGTAAGTCAAACCATGACATGACAGGGACCACTGCTCCTGCATAGTCTTTAATGTTGGCACTAATTTTTGCCAACCATCCCTCTAGAAGGCAATATTGATTATAATTTAGTCTCAGAGGTTTCCACTTGGGTTTCCCCACTGTAATAGCTTATTCTCAAAGGGCAAAAAAAATGTGGTAGTTACTTAACTTCCAGATATGTCAACTCTAATTATATATCCAGGAGTGGGAAAATGATCATGGACTCAGTCCATAGAACAAGTGAGTTAGACTTCAGCCAGAATTCATTTATTATTTGGTCCCTGAAAATCTTGACTCTGACAAGTGGGACATGATGGTAGATTGGATTTCTCGATATCAGTTGTTTCAAACAGGCCTTAAAATGTCTTGATATTCATCTTTCTTTAGTTCATAGGGTCATTCAATAGTCATAGGTCCCCTTGGAAAAGAAATGGCATCAGTACTTTATATAGTTATTCTGGTGTTGCAGTGATTTTTTTTTCTGGGATCCTAGCCACCTCTTTAGTCAATGGATTTTGAATCTGAAAATTGGTTCAAATCTGAGAACTGAGCAAGTGATTCATAACATTTTGTTGGAATGATTGCCCTTAGCCTCCTGCACCTTTATTCTTGTCTTCTGGTTATGAATGTCAAGAAGTTCCCTTGTTCTCTGCGCATTCATTTCTCTCTCAGGGTTACCAAACTGTTGTAATCATAAGATTTAGCTTCTTTGTTTGTCCCTCTGAACTGCCATTATTTATCATGGCAACTATGGCCTCCCGGCTTCTGGTGATTAAGTGCTGCCATAGGGCCTCTATTACTTCAGGACCTCATCATCCCTCTATATTAAGGAGTCCAAATCTGTTAATACCTCTCCTAATTCATCACTGTCCTGCTGAGAGGAGACATTATTGAATGCTTAGTGGTTTTGTTTGTACTCTTACCAGCAGATTTCTAATGGCTTTGTGAGTGGCATGTCCTCTTGGTCATCTCATGGAACATAATCCCTGGCGTGTCTTCTGGCACCACACAAAATGTCTATTACAGTGTATTTACTTTCCCTTATTCTCCTGTACCATCTTCCAGAGAAATTTAGGCATTTTTGTTTTGCTCAGTATTCATCATCATTTTTTATTTTTTTTTTTGGTTTCTAATATAGAGCCACTGCTCCTGGAGTTATTTCTAGAATGTGTAATCCCATGTCATGAGAAAGCATCCCTAAATGGATGTCTGGTCTATCTACTCTTAAGTTCTAACTTCATTTCCTACCAATATAACACCCTAAAAATCCAATCCCAGGATACTCTCCTGGCTTCTGTTACTAAATGTTGCCAATTCTTGCAGCTCCTCTAGTGCACAATCTTTTTCCTCCCCTATCAGGTCACCTGTATTTCCTGCAGCAGGATGTCTGAGAAGTGCATTTTCATGGTCACCAAAACATCATTTCACATTTAATATTGTGTATTCTTTATCCTAACAAGTACCTCTCAAATCATATATGATTTACTCGTAACATTTGGTTAACTACTAGGCGGAAAAATAAATTTGCATTCAGGTAATTTCGTGATATTCTCTTATTTTTTTCTGCCAGTGAAACAAAAACTAGTTTGACTGTTGATAAATGGGTAGGAGTCAAATATTTCAGAAAACATAAAGAGATTTCTAAGTAAGGAAAAGGGTAATGTTATAGAAAAAACAAAAACAAAAAACAAACAAACAAACAAAAAACAATGGCATTAGCAAACTGAACGAGTTGGCTGGAGCAAAGAATACTATGCAAAGAAACAGAAAATTGAAGAGAGAATTTTAGCACCAGAGCTCAACTGAACAAAAGCATCAGGTAAAGGAGCAGAGAAATTATGCTGAAAGGGTCATTCTAGGGAGATGTGTCTGATGGCTTTGTAAAAAATAATATTTGGAATGTGGAAGCTGGCCTTACACAAAGTGAAGAAAGTAAAGAAGAAGGGGTAGAATTTTATGAGCAAAAAATGATTAATTCACAAAGAAATTCACTAATCACCCCGTTTATAATCACAGCCAGCAGAAAAATTTCTCACACATTTGAGTATTGGGAACAACACACTAGTTCTGTGCTGGTGAAAAATTAATAACTGTTTCTTCAGAAAAGAAAAAGGAAAACAAGGAAGCAAACAAAAAAAATCAATTTATTATACTTGCCAATATACATGGTACAAATATACTATTTCCAATTTCCAACTACCAGTGTGCTCACAAGATTCCTGAACATTAACCGCTGGCTCTCAAGGCCTGATAGGAGCCTGCTTGTTCACTTCACTGCTGAAGCTAAAGAATGACTTCCATTAATAAGGCTACCAAGATACATAGTACAAATATCCTATTTCCAATTTCAAACTACCAGTGTGCTCACAAAATTCCTGAACATTAACCACTGGCTTTCAAGGCCTGATAGGAGCCTGCTTGCTCACTTCACTGCTGAAGCTAAAGAATGACTTCCATTAATAAGGCTACCAAGATACATACAGAAAAACTAAATTCCCTCAAATGCCCCTTATTTAAAGTGAGCATAGAAGAAAAAAGTGAACCTAGAATATAAAGTGTAATTAAGGATAATTTCAGATATTGATTAAACCCAGGAGTGTTCTTTATTGACCATCTAATGTATGTTTTATGGGGTTTCTGTAAATTTGAAAAACAACTGTTGTGGCCTTATAAAAGCTATGCTTTTGGGAATATTATTTCTGGAATAAAGTAATTATCCTTACAAAGTAAGTACTTCCATTTTCATTTTTCAAAAATGTTTTTCCTCCGTTTGAATGAACTTAACAAAGTAAAATGCTTGTCTTGTGGCCTCTGGCAGACTAATTACCCAGAAAATGAAAATTCTATTATATATCCTTATAATTCTTGTTTGGTACAGGCACAAGAGCATATAGCTCAATACAGCATCTGTTCTTAAATATATGGCTTTAAACATTTGAAGTAATTACAGGAAGGTAGGAAAATTAAATTCTGTGGAGCTAACAATCTAATTTTGAAAATTCTATTTTGAAATATTTGCTGAATAAGTATTTTGAATTTTATCTTTTAAAAACTTGGACTTCAACTACATGTTCTTGTGTGTGTGTGTGTGTGTGTGTTTAATTAAGTCTCTTTACCAAATGTATTGATCTAAAAATCCCTTTAGCTAAATTTCTTATATTTATGCTACATGAACTTAGCAGTAAATTTGTTCTACTTTTAAATGTCTCTTCAATGCAAAGTAAGTCATATAAATATTAAATATATTATAAATATTAAATATATAGTTGAATCTCTTGTAATTATGTAGGTTTTCATAAAGATTATTTGATTGATATATAGATCAGTGATTAAGAATTTAAAAAGCATATAATTCATCAAAATATGTAGATTAAAACAAAAGATAGGCATTTAAAATATGAAATTTCATTAAGGCATATGAGCCATATGTTTAACAGTTCTGCTAATTATATCTGATGACTTTTTCACTTCATAAATTCTCACATTTTTGGTGCCATAAGAGCTAGCCTAGTGAACATAGGAACTTTGATTACTTTGCAAAGGCATAGAAGGATGTGCAGTCTGCAAATTAACATTACATAAAATAATCTTTGACCAAAGTTTTCCAAGAATGCTAACTTTAATAAGCAAAACTCTTTACATATTTTAGATCTCTTAAAATGGACTTGAGTCTTACCTAAATGTAGATTTAACTTAAATTTTTCCCAGTTTAAAAAAATATTTATTGGAGTCTAGCAATTAAATGCCTACAAGTAACATAAAAAAACAATTTGATACTTTAATATAATTTTTAAAATGTGTGATGTGCTTTATTTTGTTCTGTTTTGTTTGGCTTAGTTTGGCCCAAATGCATGTTGTGTTATTCTAGGTTTAGAGCAAACAAACTATGAAGGAAAACTTTGCTTGGTAAAATTTCCCCTCTACCTGACCAACAGTAGTTCTTGAGTTTAGGTTAAAAATTAAAAGTGTGAAACACAATAGCCTTCAATGAGCACCACATATACATAGACTTCAGCCACAGTAGAGCAGAGGTCTTGTGGTTCCCAGGCATAGATGCTGATGTACCCAGGTCACTGTGACTTTGGACATACTGAGCTTATGCAGACTATGCCAAATGAGAGAAGCCATCAGCTCCTTAACTTTTATTTCCTCATGATAAATATGTAACTTCTTCAGGGGGACAAGTCCAGCTTCCATTATCTGGCACAATTATAGTTCACCAACACTTTTTTCCCTCTGTGCTTGATAAATAATCTTGATAATAAGAAATATTTACTTGTTCCTATATATTATAACCCCTGAAATACTTTCATTTATGTGGTCCTGGAATATGAATGCTCATAAAATTATTGAGTAATTTTTTCAGCGAAGATTTAATGGAGGTTAAAATCTTCAGACATCCCTGGGGCTAGGCGAAAGCCCAGAAGGTACCTGTTAACTCTTTTCTTCCTTTTGGCTTCTAGAACAGACCAGTACAAGCACAATCCATGCAACCTGGCAGCATGAGTATTTTCTTTTTTCAAAATGAAATACTGAGGTTTCCAAAAGAAAACAACAACAACAACAAACAAAAACAAATGGTGAACTTTAGTCTGTAAAATAAATGAAAAAACATAAAAATTATTAGTAATAAATAAATAGTTTTAAGAAATACAGCATCACCACAGTTTTCAATCCTCAGAAAATGGGAAGTCAAAGCATTCTTAAAATTATGTTAGATGTCAATATTAAATTTGATTGACTTAGACTTTGTTTTTACTTGGATAACATTGTTCTTACTTTAAAACAATTTTTAAATTATATTGTCATTTTTATGCCTTAAGACCCATATTTGATCTGGAATAGAAGGATTATAAAATAACCAGGATTTGCTAAACATTTTTAGCAAACCAAAATACATCTATGCTGATATAGATAAAAACACTACTTCACTACTCAATTACCTGTATATTTTGAAAGTATATTTTGAAATATTTATCATGAAAGTAAGCTAATTATATTAGCCTAATATGTTTTATACTAAAATATCATATCATAGTACATTTTTGTACTAAAATAAAAAAATTAAAAAAAAATTGTAATCTCTAGTTCCAGCAGTGTCATTGGTAAAATGTTCCTCATTAAGATTATAAAGTTTCTTTTTATAACTTTTTATAAGAGCAGTTATTTGGAAATTAATCTAAAATATGAACCAAAGGTTATAAGGTGTACAGTGAGAATTTTTAATATTTTTATGAGATTCTATATTATAAAATAAAGTAAGTTTATGAGAGATGATATAACACAGTTTGTAATATGGCATTAAACTGACACATGAACACATAATCAAACAAAATTAGTTTGTCTTAATTTTAAGAGAAATACAGTCTACACTGGAATGATAATATTTGAATCTGAAAACTAATAATGAGATGATAAGTGCTAATTAGGTTCTATTTTCTATCCATATATTTTAAGTCTCATTGTATGTTTCTTAGATGGTAAAGAAGGACAAAAATATCAGTATTTTTACTGATACATTAGATACTTTTATTCATTTGTCAATTTATTTTTACCAAATTTTCGATTCTTAAAACCAACATGTTGATCACATTTCTTTCCATGGGCAAGCAGATCCACTTTGTACATAGTAAATATAATAAGTCAGAAGATTTCTTACTATGTTTGGAGTCAGAACAGAAAAAGTTAAATATATAAAGTGTTTGATATTACTAAGATATGACAAATGATTAATATATTTAAAATAAAAATTACATTTGCAGCTGAGATTGAAAAACTTAAATACATCAGCCACAACCAACTATATCTATCACCTCTTTAGGAAAGGCATTATAATGAGATGAAATGCTAAATATCTGATAGCTGAGGTTCCTTATGCCCCAGATAGTGCTAGGTAGGCACTGTCTTATTTTATCTTATTCAATTATAAATGCAAACATACATACTTGAAGAATATAGCAAAGACACTTTAAATGTAAAAAATAAATTTTAAAATAATTTAAAATGTAATAAAACTCTCCAGATCTCTCCATCTTCCCTCTGTCCTCAGCCTGAAACCACTCTCAATTGATAGTTGTTTTGAGCAGAACTAAATGAGATAAAGACACGAAAAAACACTCAAAAAAATCAGTGGATCCAGGAACTGGTTTTTTGAAAAGATTAACAAATAGCTAGCTAGACTAATAAGGAAGAAAAGAGAAAAGAATCAAATAGACACAATAAAAAATGATAAAGGTGATATCACCACTGATCCCACAGAAATACAAACTACCATCAGAGAATACTATAAATACCTCTACTCAAGTAAACGAGAAAATCTAGAAGAAATGGATAAATTACTGGACTCATACACCCTCCCAAGACTAAACCAGGAAGAGGTCGAATCCCTGAATAGACCAATAACAAGTTCTGAAATTGAGGCAGTAATTAATACCCAACCAACCAAAAAAAAAGCCCAGGGCCAGAAAAATTCACAGCCGATGCTACCAGAGGTACAAAGAGGAGCTGGTACCATTCCTTCTGAAACTATTCTAAACAATAGAAAAAGAGAGAATCCTCCCTAATTCATTTTATGAGGCCAGCATCATCCTGATACCAAAGTCTGGCAGGGACAAAACAAAAAAAGAGAATTTTAGACCTGATGAACATCGATGCAAAAGTCCTCAATAAAACACTGGCAAACCGAACCCAGCAGCACATCAAAAAGCTTATCCACCACGGTAAAGTTGGCTTCATCCCTGGGATGCAAGGCTGGTTCAACATATGCAAATCAATAAGTGTAATCCATCACATAAACAGAACCAATGACAAAAACCATGTGATTATCTCAATAGATGCAGAAAAGGCCTTCGATAAAATTCAACATCCCTTCATGCTAAAAACTCTCAATAAACTAGGTATTGATGGAAAATATCTCAAAATAATAAGAGCTGTTTATGACAAACCCGGAGCCAATATTATACTGAATGGGCAAAAGCTGAAAGCATTCCCATTGAAAACCTGCACAAGACAAGGATGCCCTTTCTCACCACTCCTATTCAACACAGTATTGGAAGTTTCGGCCAGGGCAATCGGGCAAGCGAAAGAAATAAAGATATTCAAATAGGAAGAGAGGAAGTCAAATTATCTCTGTTTGCAGATGATATGATTTTATATTTAGAAAACCCCATCGTCTCAGTCCAAACTCTCCTTAAGCTGGTAAGCAAATTCAGCAAAGTCTCATGATACAAAATCAAGGTGAAAAATCACAAGCATTCCTATACACCAATAATAGAGAAACAGAGAGCCAAATCATCAGTGAACTCCCATACACAGTTGCTACAAAGAGAATAAAATACCTAGGAATATAACTTAGAAGGGATGTGAGGAACCCCTTCAAGGAGAACTACAAACCACTGCTCAAGGAAATAAGAAAGGACACAAACACATGAAAAAATGTTCCATGTTCATGGATAGAAAGAATCAAAGTCATGAAAATGGCCATACTGCCCAAGGTAACTTACAGATTCAATGCTATTCCCATCAAACTACCAAAGACTGTCTTCACAGAATTAGAAAAATCTACTTTTAAATTAATGTGGAACCAAAAAAAGGCCCATATAGACAAAACAATTCTAAGCAAAACAAAAACAAAAACAAAAACAAAGCATTGGAGGCATCACACTACCTAACCTCAAACCGTACTACAAGGCAACAGTAACCAAAACAGCATGGTACTGGTACCAAAACAGATATATAGACCAATGGAACAGAACAGAGGCCTCAGAAATAATAACACACATCTACAACCATCTGATCTTTGACAAACCTGACAAAAACAAGAAATGGGAAAGGATTCCCTATTTAATAAATGGTGCTGGGAAAACTGGCTAGCCATACGCAGAAAACTGAAACTGGACCCCTTCCTTACACCTTATACAAAAATTAACTCAAGATGGATTAAAGACTTAAATGTAAGACCGAAATCCATAAAAACTCTAGAAGAAAACCTAGGCAATACCATTCAGGACATAGGCATGGGCAAATACTTTATTACTAAAACACCAAAAGCAAATGCAACAAAAGCCAAAATTGACAAATGGGATCTAATTAAACCAAAGAGCTTCTACAAAGCAAAACAAACTATTATCAGAATGAACAGGCAGCCTACAGAATGGAGAAAATTTTTGCAATCTACTCATCTGACAAAGGGCTAATATCCAGAATCTACAAGGACCTTAAACAAATTTACAAGAACAAAACAACCCTATTAAAAATGGGCAAAGGATATGAACAGACACTTCTCAAAAGAAGACATTTATGCAGCCAATAGACACATGAAAAAATGCTCATCATCACCGGCCATCAGAGAAATGCAAATCAAAACCACAATGAGATACCATCTCAGGCCAGTCAGAATGGTGATCATTAAAAAGTCAGGAAACAACAGATGCTGGAGAGGATGTGGAGAAATAGGAACGCTTTTGCACTGTTGGTGGGAGTGTAAATTAGTTCAACCATTGTGGAAGACAGTGTGGTGATTCCTCAAGGATCTAGAACTAGAAATACCATTTGACCCAGCAATCCCATTACTGGGTATATACCCAAAGGTTTATAAATCATTCTACTCTGAAGACACATGCACACATATGTTTATTGAAAGAGTGTTCACAATATCAAAGACTTGGAACCAACCCAAATGCCCATCAATGATAGACTGGATAAAGAAAATGTGGCACATATACACCATGGAACAGTATGCAGTCCTAAAAAATAATGAGATTATGTCCTTTCCAGGGGCATGGATGAAACTGGAAGCCATCATCCTCAGCATACCAACACAGGAACAGAAACCCAAACACTGCATGTTCTCACACATAAGTGGGAGTTGAACAATGAGAACACATGGACACAGGGAGGTAAAAATCACACATTGAGGCCTGTTGGGGACGGGAGGATAGGGGAGGGATAGCATAAGGAGAAATACCTAATGTAGATGACAGGTTAACGGGTGCAGCAAACCACCATGGCACATGTATACCTATGTAACAAATGTGCACATTCTGCACATGTATTCCAGAACTTAAAGTATAATAATAATAAAAAAAGAGATAGTTGTTTCGCTTCTAATTTTTTTGTAATTATTTTTATCTCTAAAGCTTTTACCTCTATTTTTTTATTTATTCATTTGGTATTATTTTTTTCTCTCATAAATAAAACTATGAGGAATTTAGTACATTTCTACAGACACCCAACTCTTTTCCTTCTTTTTCAATTCTTTGAGTTTATATGTATATGCACACCCATCCCCCACCCTCAACACACACACACACACACACACACACACACACACACGACATATTTAGTTTTCCCTATAGTCACCTTTATTATGAAATGACATAATTAACTCTGCTCATCATTGGAGATAAACAGATTAGGAAGACGTGGATGGCCCCATAATAATTAAATAATGGGAAAAGTAGTCATTGACAGCAAAATATTTTTACTTATTTTTGTCAGAGGAAATAGAATACATGTGATAGAATAGAAGGCCTCAACATGTGTCTGCAATAACAGCAGGAAGCAATTTGGTTATTGCAATGCTAGCTATTTGTCCTGACATCAGCAGGGACAACTGAGAGTGGGACTGAGAAGGGTTACTTGAAGTACTATATAGTGTAACTATGTTTCTTGGCCATCCTAAACTCTCCTCCCCAGAGTAGAGCTAATAAGGGGTTTATTACCTGACAAAATCTCTATGTACTTTATGTGAAATTTAAAAAAATTAATAATTTTCTATAGAAATAATGCTAGTATTGCTGTGAATGCCTCAGAACAAGGCCAGTCCTTCCTGGCCTTACAACACATTTAGGACCATGCGTTGTAAACTGAATGCTGCCATCTCACAAAACTTGCATATCACTCAGAGTTTATTTTCAATAGAGAGGCCAATCAAGGTAGTAGTATTCATCTAATAGCAGAGGGAACCCGCTCCCACTATTTTTCTTTTATTTATAACCATGATGATATTATTATATTCACTTGATATACGGGGAATGTCACTAGCATGACAAAGAAAAATAAACAAGTTAATCTAGAGGGGAAAAAAGAGGTAATTTAAAAATAGAAGGAAACTTTAAACAAATTCTAATTAATACACTCAGTATCATATAAAGTGCTTCTTTTAAGCCTCTAAGTTATGCAGTAATTACTTTTGTAGCAATAGTAATTAGAATATTCATCATAACATAATCAGCTATTCTATAATCCTTAATTTTTTAACATACATATAGTATTATTGTGATAATAGTAAATAAATACACATGAAAGTAATAGGTCAAAAAAAGTAATATGAAGATAGTTAATCATCTATGTTACAAGCTATCAACTTTGAATCAAATCATGGAGAACATTCTAAGATTTAAACAATGGATTATTTTTTTCTTAAGTGCTATGACTATTTATAAATTACAGAAAGTTTTATTTAATTTTAATATTGATTATATCATGACTTCTCTATTTTTTGGAGTTTGCAATTCTATTTCTTCTGTTTATTATTATTGTACAAACTCTATGTATTAGTCCATTCTCACACTGCTGATAAAGACATACCTGAGATTGGATAATTTATGAAGGAAAAGAGGTTTAGTGACTCACAGTTCCACATGGCTGGGGAGGCCTCACAATCATGGCAGAAGGCAAAATGCACATATTACATGGTGGCAGGCAAGAGAGAGAAAGAGAACCAAGTGAAAGGGGCTTCTCCTTATAAAACCGTCAGATTTCGTGAGACTTACTCACTACCACAAGAACAGTATGGGGAAAACAGCCCCCATGATCCAATTATCTCCCACCAGTTTCCCCCCACAACATGTGGGAATAATGAGAGCTACAATTCAAGATGAGATTGGGGTAGGGACACAGCCAAAGCTGTAACTAGCTTTCTGTTTTAACTAGAAACACTGTGTTCGATGTTCAATACATTTTCTTCTTGAAGCTATTTTTCATGTATTGTTCCAAATTTCTCATCTAATTTAAGATAATTTCCTTGTGGCTTTCTTATACATCTGTCACCACAAATTTGTTTATGTGCATATATAGTTATATGCAAAAACATGCCCAGATATATATACACACAGTCATATATGTATATGTAAATCTATATAGTTAGTATCACAGTTTTAAAAAATGTCTCAGCAAATCCACAATATACTTTACCTCTGAAATCCCAGAGTAATTACTTAACATATTTCTGAAAAATTCTGAAATATTTTATGTCCAAAAATGCATTCTCAATTTTTCATGGTACACAATTATAGGTTGAAGAAAATACTTTTATTCCTCAGAAATTTGAGCAACATTTTCTCTTATTATTATTATTTGCACATAGTATTGCTGATGAAGAACCTGGTTCTGCATTTTCCTTTCTGTGATCTATCAGGACCTGAGCTATATTTTGATTTTCTAAAATTTAACCAAAGCATGCCTAGATGTGATTCTTTTGTAATTCATGCTACCCCTCCAAATTTGTGAATAAAAGAATATGCCATTGGTATAGACAACTCTTGTCTTTTCATTTTGAAATCAGAAGTCTCCAATTTGTCTCTCCCCAAATTGGAGGCACACTGTAAAACTGGAAGAAAAATAGTCTTACAGTCTTCATTTAAAAAATGCATGGGTAGAGGAATAGACAAGCAGGCTGTGGACCTACTCAGTCTAAATGCCAATTTTAGAATGACTTTGTAATCTAAATACAGCACTTTCTGTAGTTCCCTTATGGAAACAACTGCTTTCTTTCTTTCCTCCCTTGTAATTCCATATATCATTTTACCCATTAGTATGATGATCTTATATATTATCTATTTCCAGAAATCTACTGATTGCATCTATTTCAAATATCAGTTGCGTTGCAGGATTTTTCCCTGTTGATAATATTTTCTGTTGATATAAGAGGATATTTACTTATTTGTTTATTTAATTACTTTAATGGAAGAAAGTAAACAAAATTATTCATACTCTTCTCTTGAACCAGACATTCAAGTTCATTAAAATTTCTTCAATTCCTTATGAAATAAGCAATGCCTAAAGAAATAGCAAAATGTTATTTAGTGGCAGAGGTATTTGAGGGCATGTAAATGTAAGTAATAAAGCCAATGTCACCTTTGCTCAAATTCTTAAATTACAAACCACTTTGTTGATGGTGAAGAGAAAGGTATATGTGTATCTGAATCAGTCTTGACAGTGTTGAGGCTGTGACTTACACGTAGGACAGTGTTCAGTGTGCAACTCATTCTTGTGGGTGAGACATAGTCATAAATAGCCGAGATAAGACTGAGACCTGGAGCACATGTAATGCTGTGCTCTAATTCACCCCCTTTCTCTCAGTCCTTCACTGCCTGTCACAGTGTTATGACATAGTGGTTGATAACCACTGGTTTGGAGAACTGGATATCACAGAAGCTTGTCCTCTTCTGCCAGTGGGTATAACAGGCAGTTTGTAAACAATAGTAGCAGTAACAAGTAAAAAAAAGTATCATGATGCTTGGTCCACTTTTTGGGGATCATGTCTAAACACATTTTTAAAAATTCTAGGTATGTCATGCAATGAATCTATTTCATGTTTGTTATAGTTTTGATCTTTCTTATTGTGTTTTTTACATATGTTTAAAAATAAACATTTAATTTTGAGATAATTTTAGATTCCCATGAATTTTTGTTTGTTTGTTTTTTGAGACGGAGTCTTGTTCTGTCGCCCAGGCTGGAGTGCAGTGGCACCATCTCGGCTCACTGAAAGCTCTGCCTCTCGGGTTCATGCCATTCTCCTGCCTCAGCCTCTCCGAGTAGCTGGGACTACAGGCTCCCGCCACCACGCCCGGCTAATTTTTTTGTATTTTTTAGTAGAGACGGAATTTCACCATGTTAGCCAGGATGGTCTCGATCTCCTAACCTCGTGATCCGCCCACCTCGGCCTCCCAAAGTGCTGGGATTACAGGCCTGAGCCACCGCGCCCGGCCAATTCACATGAAAATTTGAAGGAATAGTACGGAGAGATCCCATGCACTCTTTACTCAGTTTATTCCAATGGTGACATATTCTAAAACTATAGTATATCACAGGCAGGATATAAGCATTCATACAGTCAAAATAGAAAAAAAAAATTAAAAAGTTTTTTGACACATTTTGGAATTAATTCTGCATCCACAAGAAAATAGATATAAAATCTCATTAAATTTTGATATTATCATAATTTCTCAGTGAATCTTAAAACAAAATAGTATCAGAACATTGTACTCTTGATTACTACTTCTCTTTAAACACCCACCAACCTAAGAACATTCTTTCCTGTTTGGATATAATCACTGCCCCAAGTGACCACATAAAACATCTTCTGGCTTCCAGACCTTGCTTTGGATTCAATGTCAAGAAGAGGTTTGCAATGTTGATCATGCCTCTCAACAGCAGTCCCTTAATTCACTCCTCACTAACTCTTTTAGGATTTCTCACATTCTCAATACCACTTTTCTGGCAAAATGCTTTTTGAATAAGCTTGCATTTTGGATATAATTCATTTATTTAAGAATCTTTTATTCTGTATAGCCACTGTGTGTCTGGCTCCATATTAAGTGCTAGGGATACAAAGATTACTAAACTGAGGATCAAGCCTTCCAGTACTTCACAAAATAATGAGTAGACAGAAAAGCAAAGAAACATAAGTCAACATATTGCTTACAATTGCATAATAGAAACACAAGTGAAATTGTTTTATGTGGTCCAATGAGATATAGTTACTAAAAATTACATGAAGATGGTCGGGCCTGGTCGCTCACGCCTGTAATCCCAGCACTTTGGGAGGCCGATGCGAGCAGATAACGAGGTCAGGAGATCAAGACCATCCTGGCTAACATGGTGAAACCTCGTCTCTACTAAAAATACAAAAAATTAGCCGGGTGTGGTGGCAGGCGCCAGTAGTCCCAGCTACTCGGGAGGCCAAGGCAGCAGAATGGTGTGAACCCACGAGGCGGAACTTGTAGTGAGCCGAGATGGTGCCACTGACCTCCAGCCTGGGCAATAGAGCGAGACTCCGTTACAAATAAAAAATAAAAAATAATTACATGATTACATGAAGATAAATTTTGGTTCAAAAGATGAACTCTGTAATAGTCTTGATGGGAAGGTGCTGCCTCAAGAGATGGTGAGTTCTCTGCCACTATAGTATTTGGGGCATAGACTGCAACCACTTGGTGGGGATCTAGTAGAAGAAATCCAAACATTGTGTAAGCACTTACTAGAAGCCTTTAAAGGAGTCTTCAAACCCTGATACCTTATGAAATCTATTCACAGCTCTGCTTGGGGCTACTGCCTAATTTGGAAACCACTGGCTTCTAAAATCTTGAGTTATCTTTAAATATTAATAGAACACTCTTAGAGCAAATGTATTAAGTAGCACTTTAACACTTTCCTATTATTCTGAGAAGAGTGTTTTATCTACCTAGTCCAATTCTTTTCATACAATGGTAAAATGACACTCTACTTTTTATCTTAACAGAACAAAAAATATGGAAAATATTTATGCTGCATTTTTTTTTATTTTTTTGTCTATAATATAATAATGAAATGTATTAAAGAATTTATTTAATACAATTGGCATTGTACTTTCTTCTTTTAACTGCCTGGTTCCTTAGAAAACTTGAACATAGAAATGATATTTCAAAATGCTTTTTCCTGCAATTGATATAGCTAAAGTAAAGCAACTTATGAAGGGGGAAATTTCTTCTCATTAATTGGATATTTTGCTAAGAATACTGAATGAAGTTGTCCTGTCATGTACAGCCTGGAATTATTCATTCCCAACCTGAACCACAATCTGGAGTGACCTGTAGGTTGGGTAGGTTTTGGAATTATGGAAAAGAGTTCAGGAATATAGTCATTTTTTTAAAATTATACTTTAAGTTCTAGGGTACATGTGCACAATGTGCAGGTTTGTTACATATGCATACATGTGCCATGTTGGTGTGCTGCACACATTAACTCAACATTTACATTAAGTATATCTCCTAATGCTATCCCTCCCCCCTCCCCCCACTCCACGACAGGCCCCGGTGTGTGATGTTCCCCTTCCTGTGTCCATGTGTTCTCATTGTTCAATTCCCACCTATGAGTGAGAACATGCGGTGTTTGGTTTTTTGGCCTGGCGATAGTTTGCTGAGAATGATGGTTTCCAGCTTCATCCATGTCCCTATAAAGGACACGAAACCATCCTGTTTTATGGCTGCATAGTATTCCATGGTGTATCTGTTCCACATTTTCTTAATCCAGTCTATCATTGTTGGACATTTGGGTTGGTTCCAAGTCTTTGCTATTGTGAACAATGCCGCAATAAACATACGTGTGCATGTGTCTTTATAGCAGCATGATTTATAGTCCTTTGGGTATATACCCAGTAATGGGATGGCTGGGTCAAATGGTATTTCTAGTTCTAGATCCTTGAGGAATCACCACACTGTCTTCCACAATGGTTGAACTAATTTACACTCCCACCAACAGTGCAAAAGCGTTCCTATTTCTCCACATCCTCTCCAGCATCTGTTGTTTCCTGACTTTTTAATGATCGCCATTCTAACTGGTGTGAGATGGTATCTCATTGTGGTTTTGATTTGCATTTCTCTGATGGCCAGTGATGGTGAGCATTTTTTCATGTGTCTGTTGGCTGCATAAATGTCTTCTTTTGAGAAGTGTCTGTTCATATCCTTCGCCCACTTTTTGATGGTGTTGTTTTTTTCTTGTAAATTTGTTTGAGTTCTTTGTAGATTCTGGATATTAGCCCTTTGTCAGATGAGTAGATTGCAAACATTTTCTCCCATTCTGTAGGTTGCCTGTTCACTCTGATGATGGTTTCTTTTGCTGTGCAGAAGCTCTTTAGTTTAATTAGATCCCATTTGTCAATTTTGGCTTTTGTTGCCATTGCTTTTGGTGTTTCAGACATGAAGTCCTTGCCCATGCCTATGTCCTGAATGGTATTGCGTAGGTTTTCTTCTAGGGTTTTTATGGTTTTAGGTCTAACATTTAAGTCTTTAATCCATCTTGAATTAATTTTTGTATAAGGTGTAAGGAAGGGATCCAGTTTCAGCTTTCTGCATATGGCTAGCCAGTTTTCCCAGCACCATTTATTAAATAGGGAATCATTTCCCCATTGCTTGTTTTTGTCAGGTTTGTCAAAGATCAGATGGTTGTAGATGTGTGGTATTATTTCTGAGGGCTCTGTTCTGTTCCATTGATCTATATCTCTGTTTTGGTACCGGTACTATGCTGTTTTAGTTACTGTAACCTTGTAGTATAGTTTGAAGTCAGGTAGTGTGATGCCTCCAGCTTTGTTCTTTTGGCTTAGGATTGACCTGGCAATGCGGGCTCTTTTTTGGTTCCATACAAACTTTAAAGTAGTTTTTTTCCAATTCTGTGAAGAAAGTCATTGGTAGCTTGATGGGGATGGCATTGAATCTATAAATTACCTTGGGCGGTATGGCCATTTTCATGATATTGGTTCTTTCTATCCATGATCGTGGAATGTTCTTCCATTTGTTTGTGTCCTTTTTTATTTCGTTGAGCAGTGGTTTGTAGTTCTCCTTGAAGAGGTCCTTCACATTCCTTGTAAGTTGGATTCCTAGGTATTTTATTCTCTTTTTAGCAATTGTGAATGGGAGTTCACTCATGATTTGGTTCTCTGTTTGTCTGTTATTGGTGTGTAAGAATGCTTGTGGTTTTTGCACATTGATTTTGTATCCTGAGACTTTGCTGTAGTTGGTTATCAGCTTAAGGAGATTTTGGGCTGAGAGGATTGGGTCTTCTAAATATACAATCATGTCGTCTGCAAACAGGGACAATTTGACTTCCTCTTTTCCTAATTGAATACCCTTTATTCCTTTCTCCTGTCTGATTGCCCTGGCCAGAACTTCCCACGGATCCCACAGAAATATACACTACCATCAGAGAATAATTTAAACACCTCTATGCAAATAAACTAGAAAATCTAGAAGAAATGGATAAATTCCTCGACACATACACCCTCCCAAGACTAAACCAGCAAGAAGTTGAATCCCTGAATAGACCGATAACAGGCTCTGAAATTGAGGCAAGAATTAATAGCCTACCAACCAAAAAAAGTCCAGGACCAGACAGAGTCACGGCCGAATTCTACCAGAGATACAAGGAGGAGCTGGTACCATTCCTTCTGAAACTATTCCAATCAATAGAAAAAGAGGGAATCCTCCCTAACTCATTTTATGAGGCCAGCATCATCCTGATACCAAAGCCTGGCAGAGACACAACCAAAAAAGAGAATTTTAGACCAATATCCCTGATGAGCATCGATGCAAAAATCCTCAATAAAATACTGGCAAACCGAATCCAGCAGCACATCAAAAAGCTTATCCACCATGATCAAGTGGGCTCCATCCCTGGGCTGCAAGGCTGGTTCAACATACACAAATCAATAAACGTAATCCAGCATATAAACAGAACCAAAGACAAAAACCACATGATTATCTCAATAGATGCAGAAAAAGCCTTTGATAAAATTCAACACCCCTTCAAGCTAAAAACTCTCAATAAATTAGGTATTGATGGGACGTATCTCAAAATAGTAAGAGCTATTTATGACAAACCCACAGCCAATATCATCCTGAATGGGCAAAAACTGGAAGCATTCCCTTTGAAAACTGGCACAAGACAGGGATGCCCTCTCTCACCACTCCTATTCAACATAATGTTGGAAGTTCTGGCCAGGGCAATCTGGAATATAGTCATTGAAATACCATTTATTGTTGACAATGGATATTCCTGAATTGATTTAAAGATAAATTTCTGGCTGTGATTTCAACTTATAGAAGTATTTTAATTAGTTATATTATTTTTTATGATTAATACTAATTTTGTATTTATTATTTTCTAAAAATTTAACTTGTGTTGTTAGTTACAAGAGGTATCTGCACAGATTTGTTACATTAGAATATTGAATGACTGAGGTTTGGAAAATGGATCCTTCACCCTAGTAGTAGGCATAATACCCAATACATAGTTTTTAAAACCACCCTCCTCCCTCCACATTCTAATAGTCCACAGTGTCTATTGTTCCCATGTTTATGTCCATGTGAGCTCAATGCTTATCTCCCACTTATAAGTGAGAACATGTGGTATTTGGTTTTCTATTCCTGCATTAATTTCCTCAGTATTATGGCCTCCAGCTCTATCCATGTTGCTGCAAAGGGCATAATGTCATTCTTTTTCATGGCTGCATAGTATTCTATGGTGTACATGTTTATCCATTCTATTATTGGTGGGCACCTGGTTTGATATTCCATGTCTTTGCTAATGTGAATAGTGCATTGATGAACATATGAGTGCACGTGGTTTTTTTTTGGCAGAATGATATATTTTCTTTCAAGTATATATACTCAGTAATGGGATTGTTGGTTTGAACAGTAGCCCTTTTTTAAGTTCTTTGGGAAATCGCCAAACTGTTTTCACCAGTGGCTCAACCAATTTACATTTCCATCAACAGTTTATAAGTATTCCCCTTTATTCACAGTGTTGTTTTTTGACTTTGTAATAATAGTTATCCTGGCTGGTGTGAAATGGTATCCCATTGTGGTTTTGATTTGCATTGTCTGATGATTAGCTATATGAAATATATGTACATATATTGTTGGCCATCTGTATGTCTTCTTTTGAGAAGTGTCTGTTCATGTAATTTGCCCATTTTTTAATGGACTTATTTTTCTCTTGTTGGTTTAAGTTTCCTATAGATTCTAGATATTATACCTTAGTCAGATACATAGTTTGTGAATATCTTCTCCCATACTGCAGGTTGTCTGCTTTCTCTATTGATAGTTTCCTTTTCTGTACAAAAGCTCTTTAGTTTAATTATATCCCATTTGTCTATTTTTGTTTTGTTGCAATTTATTTTGGGTACTTAGCCAAAAATTGTTTGCCAAGACTGATGTTGAGAAAAATATTTTCAAGGTTGTCTTACAGAATTTTTATAGTTTCAGGTCTCACATTTAAATCATTAATCCATTTTGAGATAATTTTTATATATGGTGAAACATAGGGGTTCAGCTTTGATCTGTTGTATATGGCTAACCAGTTATCCCAACACCATTTATTGAATAGGGAGGGCTTTCCTCATTGCTTGTTTTTGTTGGTCGTGTCGAAGATCAAATCGTTGCAGGGTGTGTGACTTTATTTCTGAGTTTTCCCATTAGTCTATCTGTCTGCTTTTGTACAAGTACCAAGCTGTTTTGTTACTGTAGCTTTATAGTGTAGTCTGAAATCAGGTAGTGTGAAGCCTCTGGCTTTGTCCTTTTTGTTTAGGATTGCTTTGGCTATTTGGTTCTTTTTAGGTTGTCTATGAATTTTAGAATAGTTTTTATTTTCTAATTTTGTGAAGAATGATGTTAGTAGTTTGAGAGGAATAACATTTAATTTATAAATTGCTTTGGGCAGTATGGTCATTTTAACAATATTGATTCTTTGAATCCATGAGCATGGAATATTTTTTCCATTTATTTGTGTTGTGTCTTGTTACTGTAAAGAAATAATTGCAACATAACGTGATTGGTTTAAATGTGTGCATAGTACTATGGGATATTTCCTAACAGGCAATTTTTATAGTAAGTTAGCCACAAAAGTAAACAATATTCTTATCCTATTATCTGCTTTCAATAAGTTTTTCACTCATAAACTATGAAAGGCCATTTAAAAATATTTTTAAAGTTTGTTGATTTAGTTGCAATAATTACATGTAGAATCTTTCACATTTAATCTGGCTATTTGATTACTTAGGTAAATAACAATGTTTGGAATTCTTTCTATGTGGTAATATGTATTAAATTTTAAGGGATTCTTTACAAATGACACGTAGTAATCAAGAAAAGTTGCTGAGGTACACACATATAAGCATGTAATTTTTTAAAACTACACTTAATTTGTCAGAAAATAGAGTTTTAAATATCAATTTTCATTTTTCTTATATCAAGCTTTGCCACATTTGTGAATTGTTTATTTGCCTACATTTTTTATGTAGGATTGCATTACTATATTTTCTCATTTCCTATTCCACTGAATTCTGAATAAGTTTTAAGAATGTGGCAAATTCTGGTGGTGTTCTGAGTGTTATTGGATCATTGTTTCCCCTTTATATGTTTAATCTCTCTTGATTTTTTAATATACTCCAGTGGAAAATATTTCATATGCAAATTGTTTTGATAATCATCTGTCTACATTTTTCTTTAATATTTTACTTTTTCACTTTATAAAGAATAAAATCCCATTAATTCCATTATATTAAACTTTTTTGTTTGTAGAAATTTGTAATGTAAAATTATATATGCAGTCAGAAATACGGGAAGAAATAGAAGCCCATGCAACAAGAATAAACAAAAATCTAGTCCTTTGGGGTTGACAGCTGTTTATGGCTACCTTTCTAGCAACTAATTGCCTTTCTCAGTAAGGAAAAGTTTTAGTGCAGATTCAGATCTCTTTTATTTTTAATAGAAATGATTATTGTAACTGTCATGAGTATATCCTTTTTAGTTTGTTAGAAACGCATTTATCTCTGTGTGTGCGTGTATGCGTCTGTGTTGTATGTGTGTGAGAATGTGTGTGTGTATATGTGTGTGTGTCTGTGTGTATGTTCAATATTTTTGCTTTCTTTTCTTTTCTTTTTTAATTTTTTGACCAATTGGTTTCAGGAGTGTGTTATTTAATTTCTAGATATTTTTTATTTTTTCAAATTTTCTTTCTGTTACTAATTTCCAGCTTCTTTCCATAATGATTGAGAAAGACAGTTGATATAATTTCTATCTTCTTCAATTTCCTAAGACTTGTTTTGTGACCAAACATGTTATATTGGAGAATGTTTCTTATGCACTTGAGAATAAAGTGAATTCTGCTGCTGTTGGGTGGAATATTCTGTATATGTTTGTTAGGTTCATTTGATCTACGGTGTTGGTGAAGTCCACTATTTCCTTATTGATTTTCTGTCTAGATATTCTAGCCACTGTTGAATGTGAGATATTCAAGTCTCTTACTAGTATTGTATTGCTGTCTCTCCCTTCAGTTCTGTGAATTTTTTTTTTATATATTTAGGTGCTCTAATGTTGAATGCATATATACTTATAATTGTTATACTTTCCTGGGAAACTGACCTTTTATCATTATATAGCTTCCTTCATTGTCCTGTGACAGTTTCTGATTTAAAATATATTTTGTCTGATAAAAGTGCAGCCAAATCTGTTGTCTTTTGTTTAACATTTGCATAGATATTTTTCCATTCCTTCACTTGCAGCATATGTGTGTCTTTATTTATTTATTTATGTATTTATTTCTATTTATTTTTGAGACGGAGTCTTGCTCTGTCATCCAGGCTGGAGTGCAGTGGCTAAGCTCACTGCAACCTCTGCCTCCCAGGTTCAAGCAATTCTCCTGCCTCAGCCTCCAGAGTTGCTAGGATTACATGCACACGCCACCATGCCCAGCTAATTTTTGTATTTTTTTAGTAGAGAGGGGATTTCACCATGTTGACCAGGCTGGTCTCGAACTCCTGACCTTGTGATCCACCCACCTCAGCCTCCCAAAGTGCTGGGATTACAGGAATGAGCCACCGCACCCGGCCATGTGTGTCTTTAAATCTGAAGTGAGTGTCTTGTAGACAACATGAATTTGGATCTCATTTTTTAATCAATTGAGTGTTTTTAATCCATCTGTGTCTTATAATTGGGGGCTTTAATTCACTTAGCATTTAAAGAAATGATTGATAGTGAAAAACTCATTACTGGCATTTTGTTAATTATTTTCTGTATGCCTTATTCTTCTTTTGCTACTCATTTTTTTCTCCTTTTGTCTTCCTTTGTGTTCTGTTGATTTTTTTTGTAGCGATATGCTTTGATTCCATTACCTTTATATTTTGTGTATCTTCTATAAAAATTATTTTTCAGATACTCCAATGCTTCATAAAACATTTCATAGTTATAATAGTCTACTTTATGTGATAATAATTTAATTTCAATCACATACAATAACTCTCTTCACTTTTACATCCCCCCATTTTATGTTATTGATGTCATAATATATATTATTTTATATAGTGTATCGATCAATAAATTGTTGTAGCTATTATTCTTAATACTTTTTGTCTTTTAGCCCTTATAATAAGATAAAAGTGATTTACACACCACCATTATAGTATTACAGTATTCTGTATTTGACTATATATTTATCTTTTACTAATGAGTATTATACTTTTATATATTTCATGTTGCTATTTTTAAGGAAATACAAGTTCCTTAAAATGACAATGGCAATTTTTATTGACATGCATCTGGGAATGTACGTAGTTGTTCTATGCTTCATATGAACTGACTGGGGACCAATAATCTAAGTACCAATTATATACTTAGATATATATTTATTACATATATAATATATACATTATATATATAATATATGTATAATTGGTATTTGGATTATACACAATACACACATATACCATATATATATACACACATATATACATATATACATAAATACATATATATACATATATACATATATACATATGTATATATATATGATCAGGTAATGACTAGTGAAGTTATTTTGACTTATTTAAAAATTTTGTCATTAGCTCTTATTGGATATTAAATTGTAAAGCAATTCTAATAATTAATTTTATGTACTATCCACAACTTATATTCGCCTTTACATTTTTTTCTCCAGTTATATTGTTCCCAACCTCTGTCTTCTACATCCTTTTTTTCCATAGTCTGTCAGTACAAGGACTTTCTTCCACCTTTCCCCCGATACTACCTCTTAACTGTTACCAAATTCTCAAGTACTTTTCCTGATCTTATAAGTGTGATATTATTAGTACTATATAGAAAACAAAGGCCATTGTCTCTTCATTCAGACCCCAGATCCTGACCTTCTGGCTCTGTGAATACAGACAAGTTATATAATATTGAGAGCCTCAGTCTTTTCCTCTGTACAATGGATTAACACATTTTTTCAGTATTAATGCATTATTGAGATGGAATAGATGAAAGAAGGAATTTTGCAAATGGTATTTATTGTTTAAGGTATATTTTAAAGCTAAATCTAATTTTTGTGGGAAATTTATATCATGAGACCCTTGTATTTTGATTATTTGGCTACTAATAAAAATACTATGTTTTGAATGACTTGATTTCAATCCGAATTAAAAATTGAAAGGGCAAATCTCTCCTAATTTTGGGGGTGATAGCCAGGGAAGTGACGGGAATCAGGCACAAAGGACTCTAGATGTCCCAAACTCACATTTTATATTTTTGTTTGAGAATTGTCATCTCAATTGAAATTTCTAAATTTCTATGATGAGGTTGCAAATTTACTCCCATTGTATTTAGATGGCAAAAAAAAAATTTAGCTTAGCTCTTATATAATTGATTTGTTCTTCTCCCATGGGTTCCTCTCTGAAATTACAGGAAAGTATACTATTAAATATACTCACACTCAGGTACACATACACACACAGACACACACTGCACGTGTAGTATTGTGAGACTTGAGAAACTTAGAATGGCCAAATGATTTGCATCATTAGTTTATGCAATCCAATCTGTTCATGACATTTCAGTATTTCATATTCAAATATTTCCTCTGACTCTTTCCAATATAGTATCTGTGTATGAAAGTTTGTATAATCATGTCTTGGGGAATGTATACTGGCTAGTGTTTTCAGTGAAGATGTTGGGCAAAACCTATTCTTGGGCATTCTGCAGGCAAAGTTGGTGGATTCTGCAATCTGTAATCTGGTTTCCCAGAGGAGTCACATCACCTCACCTTGGCTATTGCCAGCATTTTATATTCCCATAGTTCTGACCCAAATTATCTGTCCTGCAGCTTTTAGTTTCAGGGTAGCTTCACACTTACTTCAGCAAAATCCCCAGCGAGCTTGACTAACAGCACCCTCAGATTTCATACATTCTTCCATAGAGCACAGAACAACTTCTGAATGCCATTTATGTGACACAGGAACTGAAAGAGGCCCTACCTAGCAAAACATGAAGGGGAGCACAGCATGTCCTCTCTCTACCTTCTTGAAAATCTTCACCCTTCATTTCACAATGCTACTGGATGTTTGGAGTCAGTTTTCTCTGTCATTTTTCTACAATTCACAGGAGCAGAAGAGATGTCCTGCCTTTTGGCCCTTTTTCCTAGTGGAGATGCTCATAAATATCTCATACTGCATGTCTAAAATAATATGCATGTTCTGTCTTTTTCCCATATCTGCCATAAAGAAACTAGATTGTTATTTTTATTTTTGACACATAATATTTGTATATATTTATGGGCTCCATGTGATATTTTTATAGATGCATAGAATGAGTAATAATCAAATCAGGATATTTATGTTATCCATCAACTCAAATATTTATCATCTGTTTGTGTTAAGCCTTAACATAATGACCTCCAGTTTTACCAATGTTGGTATAAATTACATAATATATAAGGAAATCAATGACTCAACAACAACAAAAAATCCCATTAAACAGTGGGCAAAGGACAGAAATGGGTATTTCTCAAAAGAAGACATACAAATGGCCAATAGATATATTAAAAAACACTCAGAAAAGGAAAAAAAAACACTGAAGTACGTAGACCAGAGACACTATGAAACTACGAAGCAACCACATAAAATAGTCGGCAAAATAACCAGCTAACATCATGATGACAGGATCAAATTCATGCATAACAATACTAATCTTAAATGTAAATGGGCTAAGTGCCCCAATTAAAAGACACAGAATGGCAAGCTGGATAAAGAGCCAAGACTCATCAATATGCTGTCTTCAAGAGACTCATCTCATGGACAAAGACACATATAGGCTCAATACAAAGAAATAGAGGAAAATTCACCAAGCAAAGGGAAAACCAAAAAAAGCAGGGTTTGCAATTCTAGTTTCAGACAAAATAGACTTTAAACCAACAAGGATCAAAAAAAAGAAAAAAAAAAGAAGGACATTACATAATATTAAAGGTTTCAATTCAACAAGAAAAGCTAATTATCCTATAATTATCCTAAACATATAGGCACCCAATACTGGAGCATCCAGATTCATAAAGCAAGGTCTTAGAGACCTACAAAGAGACTTAGACTCCCACACATTAGTAGTGGGAGATTTTAATACCCAAATGACAATATTAGATCATTGAGACAGAAAATTAACAAAGATACTCAGGACCTGAACTCAGCTCTGGTTCCAGTGGACCTGATACATGTCTACAGAACTCTCCACTCCCAAAATATTGAATATACATTCTTCTCTTTGCCACACAGCACTTACTCTAAAATTGATCACACAATAGAAAGTAAAACACTCTTCAGTAAATGCTAAAAACTAAAATCATATAAACAGTCTCTCAGACAACAGCACAATAAACTTAGAACTCAATATTAAGAAATTTATTCAAAACTACACAACTACATGGAAATTGAACAACCTGATCCTGAATAACTCTTGGGTAAATAATAAAATTAAGGTAGAAATGAAGACATTTTCTGAAACTAATAAGAACAAAGAGACAGCACACCAGTATCTCAAGGATGCAGCTAGAGCAGTGTTGAGGGAAATTTATAGCCCTAAATGCCCACATCAAAAAGCTAGAAAGATCTCAAATTAGCAACCTAACATCACAACTAAAAGAACTAGAGAACCAAAAGCAAACGAACCCCAAAGCTAGCTGAAGACAATAAATAATCAAGATCAGAGGAGATAGAGACATGAGAAACTTCAAAAATCAATGAAAGCAGGAGCTGTTTTTTTGAAAAACATTAATAAATTAGATAGAACACCAGATAGACTAATAAAAAAGAAAAACAAATCAAATAAATGCAATCAGAAATGATAAGGGAATATCACCACTGACCCCACAGAAATACAAACAAGCACCAGAGAATGCTATAAACACCACTATGCACATAACTTGAAAAACAAAATAAAATTGGTAAGTTTCTGGACATATTCACCCTTCCAAGACTGAAAGAAGAAAAAACTGAATCCCTGAATAAATCAATAATGAGTTCTGAAATTGAGGCAGTAATATATAGCCTACAAACCGAAAAAAAAAAAAAAAGCCCAGTACCACACAGATTCACAGCTGAATTCTACCAGAGGTACAAAGAAGGGCTAGTACCATTTCTACTGAAACTATTCCAAAAAATTGAAAAGGAGGTACTCCTCCCTAACTCATTCTATGAGGTCAGCATCATCCAGATACAAAAACCAGGCAGAGATACAACAAAATGAAAACTTTAGGCAAATATCCTTGATGAACACAAATGCAAAAATTCTCAAGAAAATACTGTTAGGCCTAATCCAGCAGCACATCAAAAAGCTTATCTACCATGATGAAGTTGGCTTCATCCCTAGGATGCAAAATTGGTTCAAAGTATGCAAATCAATAAATGTGAATTATCACATAAACAGAATTAAATGAAAAAAACACGTTTATCTCAATAGATGCAGATAAGACTTTCAATAAAATTTAATATTGCTTCATGTTAAAAACTCTCAGTAGACTAGATATTAAAGAAATATACCTCAAAATAATAGCCATATATGACAAACTCATAGCCAATATCATATTGAATGGGCAAAAGCCAGAGGTGTTCCCCTTGAAAACCAGCACAAAACAAGAATCCCCTCTCTCACCACTCTTATTCAACATATTGGAAGTTATGGCCAGGGCAATCAGGCAGGAGAAAGAAATAAAGGGTATTCAAATAGAAAAAGAGGAAGTCAAATTATATTTGTTTGCAGATGACATGATCCTAGATCTAGAAAACCCCATTGTCTTAGCCCCAAATCTTCTTAAGCTGATAAGCAACTTCAGCACAATCTGAAGAAACAAAAATCAACGTGCAGAAATAATCTGCATTCCTAAACACCATCAACAAGCAGAGAGCCAAATCATAAATGAATTCCCATTCATAATTGCTACAAAAAGAATAAAATACCTAGGAATAGAGCTAACCAGGTAAGTGAAGTACCTCTTCCAGGAGAATTAAAAGCTACTGCTCAAAGACATCAGAGAGAACACAGAAAAATGGAAAAACATTCCATGCTCATGGATAAGAAGAATCAATATCATGAAAATGGCCATACTGCCCAAATTAATTTATAGTTTCAGTTCTATTCCCATTAAAAACTACCATTGACATTCTTCACAGAATTAGAAGAAACTACTCTAAAATTCATATGGACCCAAAAAAAAAAAAAAAAAAAAAAAAAAAAAAAAACAGCCCAAATAGCCCGGATAATCCTAAGCAAAAAGAAGAAAGCTGGAAGCATCATGGTACCTGACTTCAAACTCCTACAAAGCTACAGTAACCAAAACAACAAGGTACTGGAACAAGGACAGACACATAGACGAATGGAACAAAACAGAGAACTCAGAAATAAGTCCTCACACCTACAACCATCTGATCTTTGACTGACAAATGCAAGCAAAGGGGAAAGGATTCTCTATTTAATAAATAGTGCTGGGAGAACTGGCTGGCAATATGCAGAAAATTGAATCTGGACCCCTTCCTTATATCATATGCAAAAATTAACTCAAGATGGATTAAAGACTTAGAGGCAGAAATACCATTTGACCCAGCAATCCCATTACTGGAAATATACCCAAAGGAATATACATCATTCTATGATGAAGATACATGCAGCGCATGTTCATTGCTGCCCTACTCACAATTGCTAAGTCATGGAATCTACCCAAATGCCCATCAGTTATAGACTGGATAAAGAAAATGTGGTACATATACACCATGAAATACTATACAGCCATAAAAAGGAATGAGATCATATCCTTTGCAGGGACATGAATGGAGTTGGAAGCCATTATCCTCAGCAAACTAACACAGGGACAGAAAACCAAACACCACATGTTCTCACTTATAAGTGGGAGCTGAATGATGAGATCACATTGACACATGGTGGGGAACAACACACACTGGGACCTGTCAGAGGTAGGTGGTGAAGAGGAAGGGCATCAGGAAGAATAGCTAATGAATGCTGGGCTTAATACTTAGGCGATGGGATAATCTGTGCAGCAAACCACCATGGCACATATTTACCTGTATAGCAAACCTGCACATCCTGCACATGTTCCCCAAACATAAAATAAAAGTTGAAGTAAAAAATAAAAATAGGGAGAAAAAAATGTTCAACATTACTAACCATCAGGGAAATGAAAATTAAAACCACAATGAAATATCCTCTCGTCCTAGTTAGAATGGTTACTATCAAAAATAAAAAATAAATGCTAGTGAGGATTCAGAGAAAAGGAACTTTTATACACTCTGCTTGAGAATTTAAATTAGGGCAGCCATCATAGAAAATAATCTGGAGGTTTCTCAAAAAACTAAAAATAGAACTACAATATTGTCCAGCAATCCCTACTGGGTATTTATCAAAAGGATATGAAATTAATATATTGAAGAGACATCTGCATCCCCATGCTTACTGTAATGCTATTCACAATAGCCAAGAAATGGAAAAAATCTGAGTGTTCATAAACGGATGAAAGAATAAATAAAATGCAGTACATATACACAATGAGATACTATTCAGTCATAAAAATGAAAAAAAATTGTTAATCAGATGGAATTCCAGTAATTTAAAGGCCATAATATGACTTTTATTAGTGTATTAATGACTAACTCCTCTTATTATATTAAAAAAAGTAGTAAATATTGGGGAAATTAAAACTGTAAAAATAAATTTGGATTCCATTGTGATGAATGGACTTAATCCATATTTATGTGATTTAAAATAAGATTTGTGTAAGACATGTGGTGCGTGTAAAACATATATGTATATATGCATATATATACATACACATATTTATATGTATGTTTACACTCATATATACTACATATATTTAATATATATGCAATGCATATATAATATATATAGCCATGTATATATGATATTTATATACTTGCATAATATATACATAATATATTAATATTTATGTGTTGAAAACCGAAGGCCATGTAATTTAAATGAAAAACCTCAGACAGCAAAACCAGGGGAGAAAAATGCAAACCTCAGGTACATCATTCCTTTTCAAATGTGTTCCACTAGATTGCAGAATGTAACAAAAAGATGTTAGAGTGTGATAGCTATCCTGTATGTGATAGACATTTTTAAAGCACAGATTTTAAGAATAAAATAATTTATGTCATGACCAAGAGATGTATCTTGCAGTTATGCTTGCATTTTAATCTAATTTTTAGGGAAAATTTGATACTGAATATAACAGATTAATTTAGTTTTGTATAGCTGTTTTAGCTCTTCATGGCTTATAACCACAGTGATCTCAAAGGACAAATAGTCTTGCTTGCCTATTTCTCAGAAGGCCTTCAATCCTTATTTAATAAACAATTATTCCTTTTTGAAAAATCTTTTAACTTAGTCCTCAAAGAAAAATAAATAATTGTAAATGTGAAAATGTTTTAGTTATTTCTTTTGCTACGGATTCTGAATGATTAAATTCTTTGGTGTTTTAAATTTGTATCACTTCTGAAAAAAAAATTAAAAAGAACCAAATCACAGTGACTTGAGCTCTTAGAAATGGGCCTGGATATACTACTGGGAAACTCATGTGCCAAGGGAAATAAATAAGAAAAAGGATTTCTTTTAACGACTTATAATCTGTCTTTAATGCACACTGAAGATGCATTTATTTATACCTGATAAAGTTATTTGATTTAGAATACAACTGTGCTACAATTTAAAAGACTAATTTTGATATATTATAATACTCTAATATGGCAAGAGACCTAAAATATAAATTAAATGCCACTGAAATTTTTATAACTTGATATCACAAAATAAAGCATTGACTTAAAAACTTTTTAGAAAATTTTATGTGCATAAATTCATGGCAGGAATTTTAAAAATTTGAGTTACCATGCCCATGATTTTGATTAGGTAGAGGTTTTCAAGCATCAGTATGACACACAAATTGTTGAAATTGTTGGCTCAGTTATTGGTTATCAAATTTTACCTTATTGGAAGAAATGTGTGAAATTAAAAAAAAAATACTAAGCTACTGGATGAGGTGACTTTTGAAGAATGTTAGAACTAGGCACAGAGAAGTGCCGTTCAAAGGTATCTCAATTATTTTTTGAAATTATATTTAATTTTATTTATGACCGACACATAATAGTTGTACATATTTATGGTTTTGATACCTCTAATATATATATATAGTGATCAAATCAGAGTAATTAGAATATCCATCACCTTCTTTGTGATGCAGATATTCAAATACCTCTCTTTGGGTCAGGCACAGTGAGTGGCTCACACCTGTAATCCCAGCATTGTGGGAGACTGAAGTGGGGGAATTGCTTGAGCCCAGGAGTTGGAGACCAGTCTATGAGGTTGTTTCTACAAAAATTTTTTTAAAAAGTTAGTTGGACATGGTGGCATCCACCTGTAGTCCCAGCTACCTGGGAGGCTGAGGTAAGAAGATTGCTTTAGCCTGAGAGGTTGAGTCTGCAGTAAGCTGAGATCACACCGCTACTACAGAATGAGACCCTGTCGCAAAACAAAAACAAAACAAACAAACAAACCTCTTTTCTAGCTATTTGGCAATACAGAATATTATTGTTAATTCTAGTCATCCTACTATGTAATAGATCACCAGAACTTATTTCTCCTATCTAATTGTAGCTTTGTACCTGTTGTTCATTCTCTAGCCATTCTGCTTTTCTTCCCCCTTCCTGTTGATAGTTATACACATTAAATCTATTTACTGAATCTGCAAGTATCAATTATATGTCAGTGTACAATTAAATGCGAGTTTCCCGCTACTGTAAATAAAACATATCTAGACTGCTGAGAATGTAAAACTACACTATTTAATGCTGTTATCTTACAAAATACTGTTTTAAAATTTTTTAATACTTTTTTTGTGAAGTGAAAGAACTACTAGGACTGGAGACCAATTGTTATGAAATCATGGGCTGGTACTTGACGAGAAGGTGCTCCTGGCACGTTTTGTGTATCCTGGTTGTACATCTGGTATGAGTCAGATAAGGGACAGAAATCAGCACAGGTAATGAATTCCAGAGAAAGACAGAAGGAAGAGTACACCAGGATCCTCCATGCCAGCATGGAAAGGAATTCAACATGAAGGTATGAAAGCAAAATAGAGGGACTTTACATGGTGAGTTAATCCTAGAATTTTCACTGTCTCAATAGAGTCCAAACTGTATATTTCATTTCTGAGCTGTATAGTATATTATGTTCATTAGCGTTTTCAAGTCTTTATAAAAAAAGAATCCAACTGTTTCTGTTGTCACTGTAGTTGAGGCTGAATGCATGAGACATATGTCTCATCCCTCCACTTGAATTTCATGGTTTACAATTTTATTGTTTCTTCACTTGAAGTAAAATCTACTGTTTAGCTGTTAGAGCACTACTTTTCCCAGTGCTATAATTAACTTTTCATCACTTCCAATGTAACCTTATTTTTCAAGGTTTTAACCGGTACTATGAAAATTTGAAAATTAGCACTCAATGTTTAAAGGGTAACTGTACATTTCTGCAATTATAATGGAAAAAATAATTGGTTAAAGTGATGAATAGGTATATGAAGGTATTTTCATGATTTTTAAGCTACCATTTAAAGATTTGATACATTTTAAAATGCACCAGCATGTCTATAGTAAATGTCATCCTACGGAAGACTCAAATGTAATGAAATACACAACTCTCAGGGGTCCCTCATCTTCCCGGAGAATAGTTCTCAACAGATAGAGAATACCTCTCCGTGGTATTGTGAAAGGGATTGACTGAGGGCATGCCCTTAGGAGAAGAGTGTAGGAAGCAGGGAAAATCGCAGGAAGGAAGGTGAAACAAGAATGTTGAAGAATATTACCCTCTCCACCAAAGAAGTACAAAACTCTAGCCCCATGGAGTGAGAAGGTTTCAGTTATTTGGTATAATTTGTACTCCAGAGCTTTCCTGTGATTAATCTCCATGCCAAGAAAACATTCTTGTTTTACCTTCTTCCTTTTTGTGATTTTTCCCTGCTTCCTACAATCTTCTCCTGAGAGCATGACCTCAGTCAATTCCTTTCACAAGAACACTGTCTATTTTTAGGGAACCCAATCTAAGGGGTTAACCCACCTCCTTTTGTTTTTTAATGGAAATTCAACTAAGCTCAAAACAAATGCTGCTAAATAAAGGGTAATCTCAATTTAAGATTTTCCCTTTAAATATGTAAATTTTTGCACAGGCACCATTTTTTTTAGTCAACAAAGTGCTTTTTATAATAATATTTTTATGAAATGAAACAAAGAAGTTCCCTGCATGCTTCTTTTGAATAGTCTCCCAAATTCATGCATTGCAAAATTATAGGCTTTATCAAATCTTTTCTATTTTGCTGTAGAACAGATATTTACCAAATTAAAAATAGGACTTCCATGAAAAGACTCTTCCTACAACTTAAGATATTTTGTAGTGCAAATAGGAAACTTGAGGATTTGTACACATATTTCATGTAGTCCTAAAATACCTTTTCATACCCAAGTGGTTTCATCAAATCCTGGCCTGTTGAGCAGTGGGCCTCATACCACCTGTAGGTCAAGTCACTGGTCACTTTGGTACAACATATTGCTGTGCCACTGATGCTTCTCTTACCACCACCAACAGAGAATATGTTATTGCTCATATTTTGTCATTTTTCTTTGTGATTTTATTAGTGAATGCCCTGCTCTCTGTTCTTAAAAGAGAGGCTCTTGTTACATTGATTCTTAACAGAGTAGGGGAAATAGAGATCAGTCAGATTTCACCATGTGTCTATGTGAGCACTCTTAACTGCAACATGGATCTCCCGTATTACCAGACAAGACCATGTTAGAGCTTGAAGTACAAATTATCAAACCAATTTTGGCTTATTTTAATAATAATACTTTGGTAAGAATATAAACAATCTGGGCCAATTTAAAAGTATATGGGACACAATAACCTACCCCTACCAGTGTCAGGCCTCTGAGCCCAAGCCAAGCCATCGCATCCCCTGTGACTTGCACGTATATGCCCAGATGCCCTGAAGTAACTGAAGAATCACAAAAGAAGTGAAAAGGCCCTGCTCCGCCTTAACTGATGACATTCCACCATTGTGATTTGTTCCTGCCCCACCTTAACTGAGTGATTAACCCTGTGAATTTCCCTCTCCTGGCTCAGAAGCTCCCCCACTGAGCACCTTGTGACCCCCGCCCCTGCCCCCCAGAGAACAACCCCCTTTGACTGTAATTTTCCATTACCTTCCCAAATCCTATAAAACGGCCCCACCCTTATCCCCCTTTGCTGACTCTCTTTTCAGACTCAGCCCGCCTGCACCCAGGTGAAATAAACAGCCATGTTGCTCACACAAAGCCTGTTTGGTGGTCTCTTCATACGGACGTGCATGAAATTTGGTGCCGTGACTCGGATCGGGGGACCTCCCTTGGGAAATCAATCCCCTGTCCTCTTGTTCTTTGCTCCATGAGAAAGATCCACCTATGACCTCGGGTCCTCAGACCGACCAGCCCAAGAAACATCTCACCAATTTCAAATCCGGTAAGCGGCCTATTTTTACTCTCTTCTCCAACCTCCCTCACTATCCCTCAACCTCTTTCTCCTTTCAATCTTGGTGCCACACTTCAATCTCTCCCTTCTCTTAATTTCAATTCCTTTCAATTCCTTTGGTAGACACAAAGGAGACACGTTTTATCTGTGGACCCAAAACTCCGGCGCCGGTCACGGACTGGGAAGGCAGCCTTCCTTTGGTGTTTAATCATTGCAGGGACACCTCTCTGATTATTCACCCACGTTTCAAAGGTGTCAGACCACGCAGGGATGCCTGCCTTTGTCCTTTACCCTTAGCAGCAAGTCTCGCTTTTCTGGGGGAGGGGCAAGTACCCCTCAACCCCTTCTCCTTCACCCTTAGTGTCAAGTCCCACTTTCCTGGGGCAGGGGCAAGTACCCCTCAACCCCTTCTCCTTCACCCTTAGTGGCAAGTCCCATTTTTCTGGGAGAGGGGCAAGTACCCCTCAACCCCTTCTCCTTCACCCTTAGCGGCAAGTCCTGCTTTCTACGGGGCAAGAACCCCCAATTCCTTATTTCCATGCCCCAACCTCTTATCTCTGTGCCCCAATCCCTTATTTCTGTGCCCCAACCTCTTATCTCTGCACCCCAATCCCTTATTTCTGTGCCCCAACCTCTTATCTCTGTGCCCCAATCCCTTATTTCCACACCCCGACCTCTTATCTCTGCACCCCATCCCTTATTTCCATGCCCCAACCTCTTATATCTCTACGCCCCAACCTCTTATATCTCTGCACCCCAATCCCTTATTTCTGCATCCCGACCTCTTATCTCTGTGCCCCAACCCCTTTTCCAACTTTTCTGGAAGGTAAGAACCCCCGAACCCCTTCCCTCTGTTTCTCTACTCTCTCTTTTCTCTAGGCTTGCTTCCTTCACTATTGTCAACTTTCCACCCTCCATTCCTCCTTCTTCTCCCTTGGCCTGTGTTCTCAAAAACTTAAAACCTCTTCAACTCACACCTGACCTAAAACCTAAATGCTGCTTGACCCCAATACAAACTCAACAGTAGTTCCAAATAGCCAGAAAATGGCACTTTGAATTTTTCCATCCTGCAAAATCTAAATAATTCTTGTCATAAAATAGGCAAACGGTCTGAGATGCCTGACATCCAGGCATTCTTTTACACATCAGTCCCTTCCTAGTCTCTGTGCCCAGTGCAACTTGTCCCAAATCTTCCTTCTTTCCCTCCCACCTGTCCCCTCAGTCCCAACCCCAAGTGTCACTGAGTCTTTCTAATCTTCCTTTTCTACAGACCCATCTGACCTCTCCCCTCCTCGCCAGCCCAAGCTATGTCCCAAATCTTCCTCAGCCTCCGCTCCTCCACCCTGTAATCTTTTTATCGCCTCCCCTCCTCACACCTGGTCTGGCTTACAGTTTTGTTCCGTGACTAGCCCTCCCCCACCTGCCCAGCAATTTACTCTTAAAAAGGTGGCTGGAGCCAAAGGCATAGTCAAAGTTAATGCTCCTTTTTCTTTATCCCAAATCAGATAGCATTTAGGCTCTTTTTCATCAAACATAAAAACCCATCCCAGTTCATGGCTCATTCGGCAGCAACCCTGAGACGCTTTACAGACTTAGACCCTAAAAGGTCAAAAGGCCATCTTATTCTCAATATACATTTTATTACCCAATCTGCTCCCAACATTAAATAAAACTCCAAAAATTAAATTCCGGCCCTCAAACTCCACAACAGGATTAAATTAACCTCGCCTTCAAGGTGTACAATAATAGAAAAAAGTTGCAATTCCTTGCCTCCACTGTGAGACAAACCCCAGCCACATCTCCAGCACACAAGAACTTCCAAAAGCCTGAACCGCAGCGGCCAGGCATTCCTCCAGAACCTCCTCCCACAGCAGCCTGCTACACGTGCCAGAAATCTGGCCACTGGGCCAAGGAATGCCCACAGCCCAGGATTCCTCCTAAGCCACATCCCATCTGTGTAGGACCCCACTGAAAATCGGACTGTTCAACTCACCTGGCAGCCACTCCCAGAGCCCCTGGAACTCTGGCCCAAGGCTCTCTGACTCACTCCTTCCCAGATCTTCTCGCCTTAGCAGCTGAAGACTGACACTGCCCGATTGCCTCAGAAGCCCCCTAGACCATCAGGGACGCGGAGCTTCAGGTAACTCTCACAGTGGAAAGTAAGCCCGTCCCCTTCTTAATCAATACGGAGGCTACCCACTCCACATTACCTTCTTTTCAAGGGCCTGTTTCCCTTGCCTCCATAACTGTTGTGGGTATTGACGGCCAGGCTTCTAAACCTCTTAAAAACTCCTGAAATCTGGTGCCAACTTAGACAATACTCTTTTAAGCACTCCTTTTTACTTATCCCCACCTGCCCAGTTCCCTTATTAGGCCAAGACACTTTAACTAAATTATCTGCTTCCCTGACTATTCCTGAGCTACAGCTGCACCTCATTGCCACCCTTCTCCCCAACCCAAAGCCTCCTTCACATCTTCCTCTCATATCCCCCCAGCTTAACCCACAAGTATAGGACATCTCTACTCCTTCCCTGGCAACCGATCACATGCCCATTACCATCCCATTAAAACCTAATCACCCTTACCCCGCTCAATGCCAATATCCCATCCCACAACACGCATTAAAAGGATTAAAGCCTGTTATCACTCACCTGCTACAGCATGGGCTTCTAAAACCTATAAACTCTCCTTACAATTCCCCCATTTTACCTGTCCTAAAACCAGAAAAGGCTTACAAGTTAGTTCAGAATCTGTGCCTTATCAACCAAATTGTTTTCCCTATCCACCCCGTGGTGCCAAACCCATATACTCTCCTATCCTCAATACCTCCCTCTACTACCTGTTATTCTGTTCTGGATCTCAAACATGCTTTCTTTACTATTCCTTTGCACCCTTCATCCCAGCCTCTCTTTGCCTTCACTTAGACTGACCCTGACACCCATTAGGCTCAGCAAATTACCTGGGCTATACTGCCGCAAGGCTTCACAGACAGCCCCCATTACTTCAGTCAAGCCCAATTTCTTCCTCATCTGTTAGTCATACTCCTATTCACCGTTCTCAACTACTCATACATGCCCTGCTCTTGTTTACACTGCCAGTTTACACTGTTTCTCCAAGCCATTACAGCTGATATCTCCTGGTGCTATCCCCAAACTGCCACTCTAAACTCTTGAAGTAAATAAATAATCTTTGCTGGCAGGACTATGCTGAATCTCCTTAGGCACTCTCTAATTAGATGTCCTAGGTCCTCCCAATTCTTAGTCCTTTTATACCTATTTTTCTCCTTCTCTTATTCCATTTAGTTTTTCAATTCATACAAAACCGTATCCAGGCCATCACCAATCATTCTATACGACAAATGTTTCTTCTAACAACCCCACAATATCACCCCTTACCACAAGATCTCCCTTCAGCTTAATCTCTCCCACTCTAGGTTCCCACACCGCCCCTAATCATGCTCGAAGCAGCCCTGAGAAACATCGCCCATTCTCCCTCCATACCACCCCCCAAAAATTTTCACCGCCCCAACACTTCAACACTATTTTGTTTTATTTTTCTTATTAATATAAGAAGGCAGGAATGTCAGGCCTCTGAGCCCAAGCCAAGCTATTGCATCCCCTGTGACTTGCACGTATATGCCCAGATGCCCTGAAGAAACTGAAGAATCACAAAAGAAGTGAAAAGACCCTGTCCCGCCTTAACTGATAACATTCCACCTTTGTGATTTGTTCCTGCCCCACCTTAACTGAGTGATTAACCCTGTGAATTTCCTTCTCCTGGCTCAGAAGCTCCCCCACTGAGCACCTTGTGACCCCCTGCCCCTGCCCACCAGAGAACAACCCCTTTTGACTGTAATTTTCCATTACTTTCCCAAATCCTATAAAATGCCCCCCCCCCCCATCTCCCTTTGCTGACTCTCTTTTCGGACTCAGCCTGCCTGCACCCACGTGAAATAAACAGCCATGTTGCTCACCCAAAGCCTGTTTGGTAGTCTCTTCACATGGACATGCATGAAAACCAGTATGATATATTTAACAAAGTATAACTTGTACCTGGACCTCCAGTCTTGATCCACTCCTATGAATTTTCCACACTACTGAAAAAGGGATATTTATAAAATTCAAATATGATGATGTAAAAGAAATCCTTCTGTGGTCCCATATGCTTCAGAATAAAGAACAAGGCCCTTCCTGCTGTTCTCCCTCTCAAGCTCAACCTGGCCTCTCTACATTTGCTTCCTCAAACATACCTGTTCCTTCTGATGTTTTTGCACTTTCCTGAATTGCACTTCATCTCCCTTCCCTACTCTTTTGCATACTTTATTCACCTGCCTCTTACTAACTTTCAAAACTCATTTCATGTATCATCTCTTCCAGAAAACTTTGTCTTCTGGATCCACATGTAGATTTATCCACACATGGATTTCTTGTATCTCCTTGGGCCCCCATGGAACACTATGTATACCTCATCCTGGTAGTTATGGAAAGGTATTAAACTGATTGGCTTAATTGTTTTTTGTAAGCAACTATAGTGTAATATTCAGATGGAAGAGTCTAACTTTTAGCAACATGTCCAATAAAATCTTCCTTAAATATTTGACAAAAATATGGAAAAATACTTTAGCTAATAAAAATGGAGAGAGAGCATTTTCCCTTGTCCCTAAAGAGATGGTTATCTAGTGTGAACAACAGATACTTTTAAACATACTAGTCTATGTGCAACCATTAAGAATCAATTTTATCTACAATTTTTTTTAGATTTAAATCCAGAGTTAACTATGTTTTTTGCCATGGAGAGAAAAAAAAAAAAAAAAGAAGAAGCTTTCAAGACTCTAGTATACTTGTGATGACATTTCTTTTTTTTTCTTTCTTTTTTTTTTGGCTGACATATACACTTTTATGTGCCAACTGTGGATCAGATAACACCCATCTGTTCTGAGCACACAAGACCTTCTTGTCAGTGTACTTGAAGCACCTAAATGGGCATCTACTCAAATGTTCTCATTGGAAAGTTGGCTTTATGTACAAACAGAAAAACTGAAGAGGGACAATAGCAGTCAAACTTTGGTGAAGGACAACAAAAAATGTGATAAAATATTATTTGTGTGTCATGAAAGGAGCTGGCCAAATGTAACTGAGAGTACAGGAAGGGAAGAACAGTTATGGATGCAGTGTAATGTTGAACATTGACCCTTCCTTGTGGAGGTCCAAAACTCTTTGCTCATGCTTCTGCATTGCTATTTATCAGTGACTAAGAAAATGAAGCTTCATCAAAATCACAGTGGTAGAGAGTCGGGTGGGATGAATTTTTCAACCAATACACATTCCCTGTAAATAAAGGTGCAATGTTTTTGAGTTTATTTTCTTTACATACATCTAATTATACTCTAATTCTCCCCTCCCCACAAACACACACACACACACACACACACTTGCCATTAGAATTATTAAGTGATGATTCACTGAAAATAATAGAAATATGCTACATTCCTCAGATAATAGCCACAGAAAAGATTGAGATCTACTAGTCTATCTATCCTTAAATAAAAGAGAAAAAGAATATGATCGTAAAATATGGTGGAAATAAAGGAAATTGCTAATGTATTGAGCTACTCCACATATTCAACCATCAATAATTACTGTATATTACAAGGGTAAGGTATTTTTGGTTTGCTTGCTTTTTAAATTGTTGATCACTAGAGTTTGGCAAGCAGACAATACGGTTAAGTTATGGAACTGAAAGATCATGGGAGGGCCAGAACCATTTCCTTACTAGGGCAGGGAATCTGCAGTGAAATTAAAACAAGAGGGAACCACAAAGGATAAGAAAGTTGACTGAACTGCTTGAGGCAAATGCAATTATTTTGATCAATTGTTTTCCCTCATCCTTATTTCTAAAGAACCTCAATTCAGGGAAGGGAAAGGACCAAGTTCTTCAAATAGCTGGGAGGTCTATTGGATTTAGAGACATACTATTAAGGCAACTCTTACAGGAAACACAAATTGATGAGATGTAGAAGGCATTTTATACATAACTCTGCAGTTATGTATAACTGCAGATAACTCTGTAATTGTATTCAGCATTGATTGAACACCATGACAATTATTATACAAGATTTGACTTTATTGAAATTAGTTAATGAAACTATTGCTTTAGCATTTTTCCCCAAGCTCCAGAGCTTGTTATATTTAAAAATAATCTGTGTTATAAAAGTGACAAAATTATTTATTATTGTGTGATAAATTGTATGTAAATACTCTATGTAAATAACAGAATTAGAGGGAGCTTCAAGATGGCTGACCAGAGGTATCTAGCACTCACCACCTACACAAATAAGAGCCCTAATATCAAGTAGATAATCACACTTTAATAGAACACCTAAAGAAGAACACTGAAACACAATAGAGAAGTGATAGGAAACGCTGAAGGCATCGAAAGAAATGGAAGTGAGGCAATCTGCTCTGCTAGAAACGGGGAAAGCCTAGAGAAATTACCCAAGGTGGGAAAAAGGTAAATGAGAGATCTACAGTGGTCAACATGCCCACTGTGGACTCCTGCCATCCTACCCATAGGAGAGCTCCTTCATCCTTGCAGACCCTGAGACTAGCAGAGGGAGCTGTCTAGAGACAGCATGAAGACATTGCTCCAGAGTAAGAGCCAATTCTGGAGACCACACAGTCCTGAGAACTTTGCAACTGCAACGTGGCACCATTTTGAGGCCCTGGCCACCACCACACTGCATAATTTCCTGGGTCCCAACAGCCCAGACATCCCCACATCCCTGAAGCCCTACTGATATCTTTCAGGTACATTTGAAAGGCTGCAGTGGCGTGATGGTGTGTCTTTTCCTTTACGGAGGGAGTTCCATTTTGGCCCATCATGGGTCTAGAAATGCTATCCAGGAGGTAGAGCCTGGAGTCAGAAACTTTAGGAATCTACTTGGTGCTTTATTTTATTGTGACTAGATGGTGCCCAAGTTGTAAAACAAAGCCCTGTTTACTCTTCCTTCTCTTTTCCTTGGGCAGAAAGAGTCTCTCCCTCTTGCCACCCTCACGCCAGACTTCTTGGATAGCATTTCTAGACCCGTAATGGGACAAAATGGAGCTCCCTCCCTAAAGGAAAGACACAGCTGGACTCACTACCTGCTGACTAAAGTGCACTTGAACTTTGAATAAAAATCAGCGTTAGCCAGGCAGTAGTCACTGCAGGTCTTGGGCAAGAGCCAGTACTATGCTGGCTTCAGGTCTGACTCAGCATAGCTCCAGTGGTGGTGACCACAGTGGTACCTGTTTCACACCTCCACCAACTCCAGACAACTTAGCATGAAGAGAGACATCATTTGTTTGGGGGGAAGGTAAGGGAAGAGAACAAGAGACTGACTGGAAATCCAAAGAATTCTCCCAGATCTTACCTGAGACAACTAATGAGATTATCTCTATGAATCTAAAGACTGAGAATATTACTGGGTTTTGGTGCACTTTGATGCTGCTGCAAAGCAGATATGGCTGCAAAGTCCAAAGTTTTAGATCACAATACTCAGTTACATTTGAATACTTGGGAAGCCTTCTCAAAAGTGAGGGGTATGACCTAGCCCAGACTGTGAAGATAATGATAAATACCTAAATCTTCAATGTCCAGATATTGACAAACATACAAAAGCATCACAACTATCCAGGAAAACATGACCTCACTAAATGAACTTAAAAAGGAACCAGTGACCAATCCCAGAGTAACAGACATATGTGACATTTCAGAGCAGAAAAAATAATTCAAAATAGCTCTTTTGAGGAAATTCACCAGAATTCAAGATAACACTGAGAAGGAATTCAGAATCTTATTAGACAAATTTTATAAAGAGATTAAAATAATTTTAAAAAATAAATTGGAAATTCTGGGGTTGAAAAACCCAATGACAAAGAATGCATCAGAGTGTCTCAAAAGCAGAATTGATCAAGCAGAAGAAAACATAGGGAGCTTTAAGACAGGCTATTTGAAGATACAGTCAGAGGAGACAAAAGAAAAAAGAATAAAAAACAATAAAGCATGCCTACGAGAACTAGAAATATGCTAAAAGAGGCAAATCTAAGAGTTAATGGCCTTATAGAGCAGGTAGACAGTGAGATAGGGATGGAATGTTTATTCAAAGAGAAAACAACAAAGAGCTTTCGAAACCTAGAGAAATATATCAGTATTCAAGAACAAGAAAGTTATAGAACATCAATCAGATTAACCCAAATAGAAGTATCTCAACACATTTAATAATCAAGCTCCAAAAGCTCAAGGATAAAGAAAGTATCTCAAAGGCAACAATAGAAAAGAAACAAATAACATGCAAAAAAGCTCCAATACATCTGGTACCAGATTTCTCATTGGAAACTTTACAGACCAGGAGATATGACATATTTGAATATGGACATATTTAGAAGATAGGATATATATAAAGTGCTGAAGCAAACAAAACAAAACAAAACAAAGAAAAAACTCTTTTATCCTAGAATAGTATATTCCATGAAAATATCCTTCAAACCTGAAGGAGAAATAAAGACTTTCCCAGAAAAACAAAAGCTGAAGGATTTCATCAAGACTAGACCTGTTATATATGAAATGCTAATGGGAGTATTTCAATCAGAAAAAATGGGACATTTATGAGAAATCAGAAATCATCTGAAGGTACAAAAGTCACTGGTAATAGTAAGTACACACCAAAATTCAGAATAACACTGTAATTGTGGTGTGTAAACTACTCATAGTTTGACTAAGAAGAGTAAAGATAAACTTATCAAAAATAATAGCTACAACTTTTAAAGACATATCATAATAATACATAAATAGAAACAACCAAAAGTTAAAAAGCGAGGGAGATTACGTTAAAGTATAGAGGGTGGTGTTGATGTTGTTTTAGAGATGGAGTCTCACTACGTCACCGAGGCTAGTCTCAAACTCCTGAGCTCAAGCAATCCTCCTGCTTTGGCCTCCCAAAGTCCTGGGATTACAGGCATGAGCCACCATGCCCAGACTAGAATTTTTATTAATTTGCTCTTTGCTAGTTTGTTAGTTTTTTTATGCAACTAGTATTAAGTTGTCATTAGTTTAAAATAATGGGTTGTAATATGTTATTTGTAATCCTCGTGTTAACCACAAATTAAAAAAAACTACAAAAGATACAAAGTAAAAATAAAAAGCAAGAAATTAAAATATATCACCAGAGAAAATTACTTTCAGAAGAAGGAAGGAAGGGAAGACCACAGAATAATCAGAAAACAAATAACAAAATGTCTGTAGTAAATCTTTACCTATCAATCATAATGTAGAATGTAAATGAACTAAATTCTCCAATCAAGACATAGAGTGACTGAATGAATACAAAAATGAGCTCCAACTATCTGCTGCCTGCAAGAAACATACTTTACTTATATAGACACACATAGATGAAAATATTAATAAAATGATGGAAAATGATGTTCCATGCAAATGGAAACACAAAAAGAGGAGCAGCTATGCTTATATTAGATAAAATAGATTTTAAAGGAAAACCATTAAAAGAGACAAAGACCATCATTATATAATGATAAAGTGGTTAATTCAGGAAGAACATAAAATAATTATAAATATATATGTACTCAACAACAGAACACCCAGGTTATTAAAGTAAATATTATAAGAGCTAAATAGAGAGTTAGATGTCAATACAATAATAATTGGGGACTTCAGCAGTTCACTTTTAGCATTGAACAGATCATCCAGACAGAAAATCAACAAAGAAACATTGGAAAATTGGACTTAATCTAAAATATAGAAAAAATGGGCCTCATAGATGTTTACAAAACATTTTACACAACAGTTGCAGAATACACATTCTTCTCCTCAGCACATGGAACATTCTCAAGAATAGACCATATGTTATGCCACAAAATAAGTCCTAAACATTTAAAAAATTGGTATCATATCAAGTATCTTCTCTGACCACAGTGGAACAAAACTGGAAATCAATAACAAGAACACTGGAAACTGTGCAAACACATAAAAATTAAAGAATATGCTCCTTAATTACCAGTGGGTCAATGAAGAGATTAAGAAAAAAATTGAAACAGTTACTTGAAACAAATGAAAATGGAAACACAACATACCAAAACCTATGGGGTAGAGCAAAAGCAGCAGAAGAAAGATTATAGCAATGTGTGTACATTAAAAAACTAGAAAAACTTCAAATAAAGAAACTAGTGAGGCATCTTCAAGAACTAGAAAAGCAAGAGCAAAGCAACCCAAATATTAGTAAAAAAATAAATAAATAAAAATCACAGCATAAATAAATAACATTGAAACAAAAAATACAAAATATCAATGAAATGAAAAGTAGGTTTATTTTAAAAATAAACAAAATTTACTAACCTTTAGACAGACCAAGAATGGAAGAGAGAAGAAAAAGTGAGAGACTAAAAAATGTATTACATCTTATACCCCAGAAATTCAAGGGATCTTTAGAGACTAAAATGAGCAGCTATATATCAGTAAATTGGAAAACCAAGAAGAAATGGATAAATTTCTAAACACATACAACATACCATGATTGAATTATAAAGAAATCAAAAAGCTGAATAGACCAATAACAAGAAATGAGATCAAAGCCTATAATAAAAAGTCTCCCATCAAAGAAAAGCCCAGGGACAGAAGGCTTCACTGCTGAATTTTATCAAACATATGAGAAAGGACTAACGCCAATCTTACTCAATATATTCCATAAAATAAAGGAGGAAGGAGTACTTCCAAAGTGATTCAACAATGCCAGTATAACCTAGATACCAAAACCAGACAAAGACACATCATCAAAAACAAACAAACAAACAAAAACAAAAAAACTACAGGCCAATATCTTTGATGACCATTGATGCGGAAATCCTCAACAAAATACTAGCAAAACTGAATTCAACAGCACATTCAAAAGATGATTCATCATCACCAAGTAGAATTCATCCCAGGGATGGAAGGATGGTTCAACATCTGTGAATCAATCAATGTTACCCATCATCTCAACAGAATGAAGGACAAATAACATATAATCTTTTCAATTGATGCTGAAAAAGCATTTGATAAAATTCAATATTCCTCCATGTTAAAAACACTTTTAAAAAACTGCATATAGAAGGGACATACCTCAACATAATAAAAGCCTTATATCACAGACCCTCAGGTAGTATCATGCTAAACTGGGGAAAACTGAAAGCATTTTCTCTAAGATATGGAACACAATAAGGATGCTGTTATTCAACATAGAACTAGAAGTCCTTGCTAGAGCAATCAGAAAAGGGGAAAAAATAAAGAGCATCCAAACTGAAAAATAAGAAGTCAATTTACTTGTATTTTCAGATGATGTAATCTTTTATTTAGAAAAACCTAAAGACTCCACCAAAAAACTATTAGTGTTGATAAATTCAGTAAAGTTGGAGATTACAAAAGAGACATACAAAAATTAGTAGCATTTCTATATGCCAAGAGCTGTCAATCTGAGAAAGTATCAGGAAAGTAATCTTATTTATAATGGCTACAAATAGAATAAAATGCCTAGGAATTAACTGAAGAAGTGAAAGATACCTACAATAATAATTATAAAATATTGATGCAAGAAACTTATGAGGACACAAAAAATGGAAAAGTACTCCACGTGCATGGATTGAAAGATCTATATTTTTTAAAAGTCCATACTACCCAAAGCATTCTACAGATTCAATGCAATCCTTATTGGCATACCAGTAACATTCTTCACAGAAATAGAAAAAATAATAATTCTAAAATGTATGGGGATCTACAAAATCCAGAATAGCCAAAGGCATCCCAAGCAAAGATAATGTAACTGGAGCAATTACATTATAATACTTCAGAATATACTACAGACCTTTATTAACTAAAACAGCATGGTATTGGCATAAAAACAGACACATAGACGTATGGAACAGAACAGAACACCCAGAAATAAATCTATATATCTGCAGTGAGCTAATTTTTTAACAAAGGTGCCAAGGACCTACATTGGGAAAAAAATAGTCGATTCACTAAATGATGCCAGGAAAACTAGTATCCATATGCAGGATAATGAAACAAAACCCCTATCTTTTGCCATTTATAACAATCAAATTAAAATGGATTAAATAATTAAATTTGAGACCTCAAACAATGAAACTGTTACGAGAAAACATTGGAGGAACTCTCTAGGACATGAGACTGAGCAAAGATTTCATGAGCAATACACCAAAAGCACAGACAACCAAAGCAAAAATGAACAAATGGGGTCATATCAAAGTAAAAAGCATCTCCATAGCACAAAGAACAATCAACAAGGTGAAAAGACAACCCACTGAATGGCAGAAAATATTTACAAACCATCTATCTGACAAAGGATTAATAGCCAGAATAAATAAGAACCTCAACTCTATTGGAAAAAATCTAACAATCTGATTTAAAAATGGGCAAAAGTCTGAACAGCCATTTATCTAAATAAGACATACAAATGGTAAACAGGTGTATAAAAATGTGCTTAATATCACTGATCATCAGAGAAATGCAAATCAAAACTACAGAGATATCATCTCACTCAAGTTAAAATGGCTTTCATTCAAAAGTCAGGCAATAACAATTGCTGGCAAAAAAGGGAGAAAATGGAGCCCTCATACACTGTTGTTGAGAACGTAAGTTAGTACAATCACTATGGAGAACAGTTTGGAAGTTCCTCAAAAAACTAAAAATTGAGCTACCATGTGATCCAGCAATCTCATTTCTAGGTATACCCCCCAAAGAAAGGAAAATAGTGCATCAAAAAGTCATCTGCACTCCCATGTTTATTGCACCACTGTACACAATAGCTAAGATTTGGAAGCCACCTTTGTCTATAAACAGATGAATGGATAAAGAAAATACAGTACTACTTAGCCATACAGAAGAATGAAATCCTGTTCTCTGCCACAACATAGATGCAACTGGAGGGCATTATAAGTAAAATAAGCCAAGCACAAAATGACAAAGTTCACATCCTTTCATTTTTTTGTAAGAGCTAAGAATTAAAATAATTGAATTCATGGAGATAAAGTATAAAATGATGATTACTAGAGCCTGGGAAGGGTAATGGATAGGGGAATTGGGGATGGTTAATTGTTAAAAAAATATAGTTAGATAAAATGATTTAGTTTTTCATAGCACAACGTGGTGAATACAGTCAACAATAATCTATTTTACATGTTAAAATAAGAGTATAATTGAAATGTTTGTAACACAAATAAATGATAAATGTTTGAGGTGATAAATACCCCATTTACCCTGATGTGATTATTACACATTGTATGCCTGTGTTAAAATAGCTCATGTATCCCATAAATATATCCACCTACTGTGTACCCATAACAGTGTAAGAAATGGATATCTGTACCCACCATGTTTATTGCAGTGCTCTTTACAAAAATAAAGATATGGAATCAACCTAAGTGTTTATCATTGGATTAACATATAAGGAAAACATGGCATATATACAGAATGAAATACTATTCAGCCATAAAAAATAATGAAATTCTGTCAGTTGCAGCAACATTGATGAAATTGGAAGTTATGATGTTAAGTGAAATAAACTAGGTACAGAAAGACAAATATCATACGGTCTCACTCATATTTTAGAGCTTAAAAATTGATCTCGTGGAGGTAGAAAGTAGGATGGTAGTTACCAGAGGCTGGGAAGGGTATGTGATTGAAGGTAGTGGGAATGAAGACAGGTTGGTTAATACAAACATACAGTTACATAGAGGAATGTTATAATGTTTGATAGCAGGTAGGGTGACTGTATTAGTCCATTTTCATGCTCTTGATAGACATAACCGAGACTGGGCAGTTTACAGAAGAAAGATGTTTAATGGACTTACAGTTTCACAAGGCTGAGGAGGTCTCACAATCATGGTGGAAGTCACATCTTACATGGATGGCAGCAGGTGAAAAGAGAGACCTTGTGCAGAGAAACTCCCATTTTTAAATTCATCAGAACTTGTGATATTTATTCACTATCATGAGAACAGCACAGGAAAGACCTGCCCCCATAATTACCTTCCATCAGGTTCCTCCCATGACGTGGGAATTTTAAGAGTTACAATTGAAGATGAGATTTGGGTTGGGATGTAGATAAACCATATAATTCCACCCCGGACCCTCCCAAATCTCGTCCTCACGTTTCAAAACCAATCATGACTTCTCAACAGTCCCATAAAGAGTTAATTCATCAGCATTAACTCAAAAGTCCACAGTCCAAAGTCTCATCCAGACAAGGCAAGTCCCTTCTCCCTATGAGCCTGTAAAATCGAAAGCAAGTTAGTTACTTCCTAGATACAATGTGGGTACAGGCATTTGGTAAATACCATCTTTCCAAATGGGAGAAATTGACCAAAACAAAGGGGCTTCAGGCTTCATGCAAGTCTGAAACCCAGTGGGACAGTCAAATCTTAAAGCTTCAATATGATCTCCCATGACTCCATGTCTCACATCCAGGTCATGCTGATGCAAGAGATGGGTTCCCATGGTCTTGGGCAGCTCCACCCCTGTGGTTTTGCATGGTGAAACCTCCCCCCTGGATGCTTTCATGGGCCGTCGTTGAGTGTCTGCAGCTTTTTCAGACACACAGTGCAAGCTGTCATTGAATCTACCATTCTGGGGTCTGGAGGATGGTGGCCCTCTTCTCACACCTCCACAAGGTGGTGTCCCAGTAGGGACCCTGTGTGGGGGCTCAAACCCCACATTTTCCTCCTGCATCACCCTAGCAGAAGTTCTCCATGAGTGCCCTGCCACTGCAGAAAATTTCTGCCTAGACATCCAGGTGCTTCCACATATTTTCTGAAATCTAGGCGCAGGTTCCCAAACCACAATTCTTGACTTCTGCACACTGTCAGGCTTAACATCACATGGAAGCTGCCAAGGCTTGAGGCTTGTACCCTCTGAAGCCACACTCCAAGCTCTATGTTGGCTTGTTGGCCCCTTTCAGCCATGGCTAGAGCAGCTGGGACGCAGGGCATCAAGTCCCTAGGCTGCACACAGCAGGAGACCCTGGGCCTGGCCCACAAAAACACTTTTTCTTTCTATGCCTCCAGGCCTGTAATGGATGGGGCTGCTGTGAAGACCTCTGACATGCCCTGGAGATATTTTCCTCCATTGTCTTGGTGATTAACATTCAGGTCCTCATTACTTATGCAAATGTCTGCAGCTGGCTTGAATTTCTCCCCAGAAAATGGGATTTTATTTTCTGTAGCATTGTCAGGCTCCACATTTTCCAAACTTTTATGATCTGCTTCTCTTATAAAACTGAATGCTTTTAACAGCACCCAAGTCACATCTTGAATACTTTCCTACCTAGAAATTTCTTCTGCCAGATACCCTAAATCATCTCTCTCAAGTCCAAAGTTTCATAAATCTCTAGGGCAGGGGCAAAATGCTGCCAGGCTCATTGCTGAAACATAACAAGAGTTACCTTTGCTCCAGTTCACAACATGTTCCTCATGTCCATCTGAGACCACCTCAGACTGGATTTCATTGTCCATATCATTATCAGCATTTTGGCCAAAGCCATTCAACAAGTCTCTAGGGAGTTTCAAACTTTCCCACATTATCCTGTCTTCTTCTGAGCCTTCCAAACTGTTCAAAGCTCTGCCTATTACCCATCTCCAAAATCACTTCCACATTTTTGGGTATCTACAGCAGCACCCCACTCTCAGTACTAATTTACTGTATTCATTCATTTTTATGCTGCTGATAAAGACATACCTAAGACTAGGCAATTCACCAAAGAAAGAGGTTTAATGGACTTAGAGTTCCATATGGCTGGGGAAACCTCACAATCATGGTGGAAGATAAGGAGGAGCAAGTCACATCTTACATGGATGGAAGCAGGCAAAAAGAAAGAGCTTGTGAAGAGCAACTCCTGTTTTTAAAACCATCTGTTTCATGAGACATACTCACAATCATGAGAACAGCACAGGAAAGACTCACCCCATAATTCAATTACCTCCCACCAGATTCCTCCCACAACACATGGGAATTGTGGTAGTTACAATTCAAGATGAGATTTGGGTGGGGACACAGCAAAACCATATCAGTGATATAGTTAATGACAATGTATTATATATTTCCAAACAGGTGGAATGGAAGACTGGAAATGTTTCTAACATACGGCAATGAAAAACACTGGAGATGATGGATACCCTAAATACCATGACTTGATGATTACACATTCATCGCATGTAACAAAATTTTGCATGTTCCCCATAAATATATAAAAATACGTGTATTAATAAAAAAGTTCTGAGCAGGAGGATTGCTTGAGGCCAGGAGTTTGAGACCAACCTGGGCAACATAGCAAGACCCATCTCTGCGAAAACATTAAAAAATTAAGGGCACATGGTGACATGGATGTCCATAGTCCCTGCTACTAGGGCAGCTGAGGCAGGAGGATTCCTTGATCCCAGGAGTTTGAGGGTACAGTGAGCTGTGATCATGCCATTGCACTCTAGCCTGGATGATAGAGTGAGACCCCTCTCTATAAATAAATAAATAAATAAATAAATAAATAAATAAATAAATAAAAAACAGAACTACTTATAAAATAGAAACAGGATAAGATTTCCTAATTACCTAATGTATGATTTTGGTAGAAATTATAAATAGGTCATTTTAGTTTCTCCCTTTGGTATGAAAGTTTGTCATGAATTAAATAGTCATACCATATACAAATAATTGGGTTAAGTAGAAAAGATATATCCAACAAGGATAGAAGTGGAAACCAGAGATATCTAACCTCATTTGAATATGTTTGGCTTACTTAACTGTGCTTTCAAATGTATAAAAATAATATTCTTGGACATTTATATAATGTTTTTTGTTTAACTCTTGGTTAAACAACTGATGAAAGATGTTAGAATTCAAAAGAAACACAACTCTAATCTGAAACTGGACCGTATTATTAACCATAGCTCTCATTTTCATCTCATTTATTTTGTTGCTTGTTTTAGATTTTTAATATTCATTATTACCCAGGATCTTGGGTCATTTTTCCTTTTCTTGCCATCTTTTTTGCTTATACTAATCTACGGCTGAAGAAACAGTATTAAAAAAATTAATACACATCTGCTGCTGATTCTGCTACTTAAATACTCCCAAAAAGGTATCAAATTTTCTCAAACAAAACTCTCTTCAGCTTTATTTATTTATTTATTTTTGTTAATCTTCGGTGTCTGTTCTCAGCTTTTCACTTTACCAAGCTCCAAGCTTTGGTCTCCTAAATTAGCTACTTCTCACTGTGGGTTTCAACCATCATGAAAGATAAGCCTACCTTTTGTTTTTGTTATGTTTTTCCATATTATCTAAGATAGTCATAATTGATACAAAATACCAGCCTGTTCACCTAGAGCTTGTTTATATTTTTGTTGGAAGTGTGAAATTGTTAAACCATTGAAATAACACATGCTTTTAAACAGAGCATATTACTTTATTATGATTCCAATTTAAAATGCATTGTTAGCTAGATAAACTTTCATCATGTCAAAAATGTAGCTGTGCCATCTAGGAAAATGTAGTTGTATAATTATTAATTTCAAAAGCTCTGTAACACGTAGTAACATTTTGATCCATAAATCTAATTTTGCACACCACAGCTCCTTTTACTATCTTGTAAAATTCCCAGGTATGTAAGTGTTTACCACTGAAATCTTTTGCAACTCCATTAATTTGTTGAGAATAGGTCAAATTAATTTAAAATATCCTATGTATCTCTTGCAATGACCATGTGGTTTCACAATATTAATATCTTCTAATACTATTTACCCAGCTCCTGATTAATCTTGATCTTGAGGTAATTAGTGCAATGTGGATGAAGAGATTTCTAGAAAGACTTCCTTGTTGTTATTCTGGTGTTTGATTAAAAGAAAAAGTATAAGGCTTAAAAAATGTATGTCAAGGAAGTTATGTTGAAATGATTTCTATATTATATTTTATTATCAAATTTTAAGAGACATTACACTCATTATAACACAATTTTTTCATAAGCTTCCTTCATTTTCAAACTTATTGCTTGCCAACATAATTATTTGCTATAATAAAATAAAAATATTTACACATACATGGAGAATCATTTATGTCTTGTATATTTAAACAATTACTGGTCTAGGAAAGTTTAAAGTATATTTTTTAGGGAGAAGAACAGAATTTAAAAGTACTAACTTTTTAAAGACTAAAAGTGTATTCCATATTTTCACAGATTATATTTTACAAAATGTGGTCACAGTGACACTCCCAATCCCACATACTCATTTTTACATTTTAAGCTCTCCACCCTCCCATCAAAAGATGAGATTTATATTCCTTTCCCTTGATTCTGGGTGGGCTTGTGTCACACTTGTAACCTACAATATGTGACAAGAGTTGATGCTGTGTTACTTATGAGGCTAAGTCATGAAGGGCAAGGTAACTTCTGCCTCTTTTGCTACTTGGATCCTAAACAGGCTGTATAAGAAGTCTGACACCACCATGCTGGGGAGGCAATGCCCCGATGCTCTTATCAACAGCCTCAGCTGAGCTCTCAGCTTACAGCCTGCTGGACATGCAAGTGAGCCATCTTAATGGTCCAGCCCACTAGAAAGTTCTGATGACTAGAGCCCCAGCTGACAAGTGACTACAAGAGAGATAACAATTGAGAACTGCCTAGCTTAGTTGTTATAAATCCCTGTCTCACAAAATCATGAGCAAAATAAGTGGTTGTTTTACAATGTCAAGTTTAGAGGTAATTTGTTACATAGAAATAATATTTGACATAGAAATTTGGTATGGGGTACTGCCATTAAAATAACAAAACAAAAGTAAGCAAAAACTGCATGGCATTTGCTTTGAGAATGGGCAGTGGACAGAAGACAGAATATAGGAGGGCCATGAGGATGTGGTTAAGACACCTGAGGGGCCTCAAGGATGCTTTTAGTGTAGACTTAATGTGAAGTAAATAAAATGCTAGAGGTTAGAAGAAGAGTAGATCCTTTTGCCTACCCAATTATCATGTATGAGAAATAGTAATGACTGTTCTTTCTACTTTTGTCAGAGTTTAATTGTACCAGTTTTGCCATAACATGGCATTCCCATCTATGTATATGCCTTTTGACATATCCAAATAAAGACAGCAATACATATTTATACTTTATAGACAAATACAACATTAGTTAGTTAAACAGAAGACCTATATACAACTACAGGAAAAATCTTTTTATTTCCATTCTTTTCCTTTTGTTCTGGGGATTTTGGAATTTAAATTAAAAAAACACGTGTGTGAGGTAGTTTGGACATATAATACATAATTAGTACATGCCAGGTTCCACTCCTACTCCCCCTGGACCATGGGAGTCCCTGAACACATCCCCTTCCTTCACTCCTTTCACAATGGCTCCACCATAGGCTGCCATGCTGCACCGGCTCAAATGCCTGCTGCCTTGAAGAACATGGAACAAAGTACAAATCTGGGCAGTGGCTTCTGTGGTATAACACTGGTGACTAGAAAGAGTGAGGTAAAATTCCACAACAATAATAAAGAAAGGACATCAGAAAACAAAAGAAGGCAAACCAAATCAAGGAAAACCAAACGGCACACAGTCCCATTACCCTCCCCTACACAACAACTATTCACTTTACTGATTCTATCAAGCGTGCAGAGCAGTTGTTAATTATCTCATGAGATATGAGAAAACTGAGACATGGAAAGTTTAAGTAAACTGTCAAAAGTTACACAACTACTAATTGTTAGAATTTGTAATAAGAAAACAAACAAAAACAAAAACCCAGACAGTCTGATTTCGGAATGAAAATCATTAGCATAATCGTATATTGCCTCTAGAAAAGTGGCATCTGGAAGATAAAAGAGTGGTCTGTCAATTAATAGTTTTCTTAACATTGAGAAATTACTTGACCTAAGAGGTCTCTCAGTCCTACTATTAGCAAATGTAAAATTAAATATTTACATATATCACAGATTCCATCGTATACATTATAAAATAGAAAAGATTATAGAAAAGGTCATAGTTTTACTGTCATTGTGGTTGATACCATAAGAATGTTTCAGTATAGGTATGCTGCTATTCCTCAATTATGGAATAATATAATTTAATAAGAGAAAAAGGCCTGACTGCCTTCTCATTTGTTTCACTACCAATTTAGACAGTAATGTTTATTTATGTTGTATAATCACAGAATCCTTATAGAGAGTTAGCCTATAGAGGAAAGACTAGAGTCTGGGAGCATATTTGAGTGTCTGTTTAATTTAACTATACCTATTATTTCTAAGTGTATTTCTTTTGAGTAAGAGGGAACATATCAGGAGGGAAGCAATATAAATTATTTTCTGTGAAGAATCATCATCAAAAAGTATATAGAAATATAAATCCTTTGTAGTTCTACTTGGCAGAGTAAACTAAGACCTCAGAACAAATAGAAGACTTCTTAAGCCTTTTGTTTGTCTCCTGAGTTAAGATGTAAGCAGTGAGCAAGTTCTATCTGCTAGAAAAGCATTACATAGCAGCCAGTGATTTATGCCTTGTCTAATGCATATGGATGTGGCAGCTTTTCATGATGGCAGTAGCTCTGCCATGGGTATAAGAGAGAGAATAAGTTGTCTAATTCTAAGCTAAGGCCAGGAAGGTCAGCAAAAGGAGTGTGCTTGTTTCATTTTAAGGACTCTTGTATGGTTGCAACTGTGGCTGGGAGCTTACTGAAATACGAGCATGACAAGAAAATATATTAAAGAAAGATACAAGTGAGACAGCAAAAAATAAGGGAAAACAATAGCACATATAAGGTAGTGTTTTTTTTTAGATCTGTATATTAAGTGAATTGATTTGTCATCCAAACTATAACATCAATGAGAACTAAGTAAATACAAAACTTCTCATTAACCTAAATTGTCACTCATTACCTAAATTTTCACTCAACAAAGTACAGTATTAAAATGTCAATAATAATAACAATTTAGGAAGCCTGAAGCAATAGGTTCAATGGCCCACAAACAGAATCATATTAGAGTAGCTTAGATGATGGGAATTTCCATCATCTTCAGGGGCATCATATTCAGGGGCATCATCTCATATCTGTAATATTCCAGGAACAGAAACCCAAATACGTATGTTCTCACTTACAAATGAGAGATAAACGATAAGAACTTAAGAATAAAAAGAAGGAAACAACAGACACTGGGGTCTACTGGGTGGGGAGGGTGGAAGGAGGGAGAGGGACAGAAAAGATAACTATTAGATACTGGGCTTACTACCTGGTTTGTGAAATAACATGTACAACAAATCCCTGTGACAGGTGTTTACCTGTGTAACCTTCACATGAGACCCCAAACCTAAAACAAAAGTAAAAAACAAAGTCTAGTAATGTCAGAAAAAAAAGTTTTAAAAGAAAAACTTAAAATTCTGAGTCTCAGTCTACATAGTAACACATTGTCTGAATGTATGAGTCTGTGTATCATACTCTTTGATAATAAATTTAATGTAGATATTTCTCATCTTAACTAATGTATTAAACCTTTGACATTTTTTCAATAAATATTATAAAATCTGCATTTAGTATTTGATACAATAATTACAATGTTTTTTGATTTAGTGGTATTGTTATTTGATTCCATGTTCAAATAATATGCTAAAGTGTTTTAAAAAACATTTGGAATGTGTTTATTCCAGTGTGCTTATTATTTTTAATATACAATATGTTTGTGTAACAAATTGAACACAGACACATTACATTAGATAATCTAGTAACTTAAGAAAATAAACTTTTTAGAGCCTGGGATATTATAGATCTTAAATATTGATCTTTAGAAAGACTAAATCTTAAGAGTTCAGTTGAATACCAAAAGACATTAGAGCTAAGAAGCAATAATTTAAAAAACAAATATAAAACTAGACTGAAATAGAATATGGACTGTGTAATTGTCAGATGAAGCAATTATGGGATCTTACATACACACACACACGCACACACACACACAATTGATTATTTATGAGAGTTAAATAAAGCATCTCAGAAGAGGTACTACTTAAATTAAGCCTAGAGAAATAAACAGCTTGATTGAATCTCTACTTTAGTAAGGTAATTCCATCAGCAATGTGAAGAGTCTATGAAGACAGAAAAGCTGGAGGTAGAAAATTTTTCAACATTTTAAAATAAAAAGTTTCAAAAATATAGACAAGCTGAGTGGTTAGTTCAATGAACATCTAAATGCATGTCAGCTAGATACAATATTTTTAAACATATTGCCACATTTGCTACATATACATGAAACAACAATTCAGCCTACATCTACTAAAAAATGATATTTCATAAATAATAATAATTCCATTTAAGCAAAGACTATTATTACTATTTCTCTAAAATGGTTAATATTCAGTCCATATTCAAATTATCATAATTGCCTCAAAAATGCCTAAGATTTTCTCAATGTTCACACCTTGTATACTAAATATTTCTTTAGCCTCCTTTAATCTAGAAACAGACCACTCCCTTACATTTTCCACACGGCATTACTTCTTTGAAGAGACAAGTGCTGTTGTCTTGTAAAATGTCACACAGTCTGGATTTGTCTGATTGTGTCTTGAAGTGTTAAATGGATTTCTCCATCTTGTGTTAATTCCAAGAAAATGGAAGGTAGGTTTAAAAAATTGATTAGACTCAGGTGAAGCTTTATTTGGTGTGAACCCTTCACAGGTGATGGTCCATCTGGAAACACATGAGGTTGTGCAGACCATCTGTTAGCAATGCTATATAACATTACTTGATTGAGATGGTAACTAACATATCTTTCAATTTTAAAGTACACATTTCACCTTGTGAATAGCAAAAAATGTGTAGGGTGTTATTTTCGCACCACGTGAATATCTAATGGTTTCTATTGATAATCCTGGCCTGAGTAAACTGTTTTATCAGACACTGCAAAATGGACATTAAAAAATTATGCTATTTCTTATGTGTTAATTAGCTGGCTTTCTTCCATAAGAAAAGCTGTCCTCATCAACTGAGATTGAGAATTAAAGCTTAATTTGTTTCTTTTAATCACCTATTTTCAGATTAAGGAGCTAGTATCATAATTACTACAAATGATTGTCAGGGAAGTTTTTCTTTCTTTTCTTTTTTTGCATATCTGTATGGAAGCACAGAATTTTTAAGTTTTATTTATAGCTATTAATTAAAGGCATTATTTTTAATGCTTAAGCTGTAACTTTTGCCAGTATGAGGCACTTCAAACTGGGTTCTGTGTCTTTTTTTTTTCTATCCTCACTACCTTTTGTTTTCTTACTTTCTTTCACATAATAAATATTCCATGCTCACTTTGTAACCTTACATGTTCCAGATCTCATCATTAATTATTAGTCCTAGAATGCAAACAAGAGTCCAAAATTGAGACACTAGGTTAGATTCCTAGGTCATAGGTACATTATTCCCTGTGTTCCTGCACATTTAAGTGTTATTTTTAAAACTTAGACAAATGAAAAGAGTTTATCTGGGTCTATAATCCTTAACTCACATATCATATATATGAATTTTTTTGGATATGTTGAAAAGCTGCTGTAATTTTTGTACGTTACTCATGGATACATACTGCCATCATGATTTTCTATACTTTATCTAGGACTTGGATCACCTGGATGCCTAGGGTCTCATATTTTGTTATTTAAAAATATTTAATTCTCATAGTTTAATATGTATGTATCAGAACTGACTCTTTGTTTGATATTTTATGTACATCTATAGATGCAAGTCTTTGTTTATTCCTAAAAAGTTTTATTGAATTAGTAGTACATTAACAGTAATTTTTTTTGAATTAGTAGTAATAGTAATTGGTAGTTCTGTTTTTTGCTATGATTTTCTTGTTCAGATACTCCACTGTTTTGTATGCTAGATCTTCTAAATATTCATATTTTTTCTGAACTCTTTTATCTTTTTCTTTATTTTTAATTATATACATATTTGGCCTAATTATTTGTTTCTTCATCTCCTCTTTATCCTTTATTGTGCTTTTCAGTATTATAGTTATTTTCCTTTTGTTGCCTTTAATTGATCTCTTTTTTATTACTAAAGTGATTTTTTTCTTTTTATTATTAGCCTCTGTCCTGAGCTCCTTCTTACTTTCTTTGTCTGGTTCTGTCTTGAATTTTGAACTTCTGTTTCATGTAATTTTTATATCTGCAACTGTTTAATTATATTTGTTATATGGTCATGTTCTTAATACTTTTTGACCTCCTGACCAGGATATTTATTATTTTTGTTTGATTGTCCTAACCCAATATAGTTGGTGATCTCAGGTGGGGATATGGAGGAATGGAGAATTAGAGACGTGGCTGACTTTCTTATTGCTTTGTGAGGGATCAGTTCCTGCTTTTTACTTTTACTAAAATAAAGCCATCATTTTTGTGATTCTTTGATAGAATCTTATTTCAATGAGACCTTTGTTTCTTTAGTTTTCTTTTATTTTTATCACCAAACCTCTAACCAAACCCAGTTTCCAACCTAAGAGAGGAGAATATATCAGTACTCCTGAAGTTCCATTTTCACACTTCTTGAATTTAGTTCAGCTAACATTTCTCCCCAGAGCAAAATATAGTATTGAATTATTCATTGCATTATTTTTCTACCTATATTCAATTACATATATGTACACATTTGTAAATATTAATCTCTAAAGATGCTTAAATTTTTTGAACAAATTTGCATCACATTTTATATATACATTTCATAATTGTCGATACATATTGCTGTGGCTTATTTTAACAGCCCTGTAATAGTCTTTTGTTAATATTCATTCTCTTTTTGAAGGATAGTTTTGCTGCCATAAGCAATGTTACTATAAGCATATAGCTTATGTATATGAATATGTATATGTTTATCTAAGATATACATCTAAAATGGGACAACAAAATTATAAACTATGCTTATGTTCAATCTAAAAAAATGGCAAATCATTATTCAATTTAATTGTAACTATTTACATGCCCATGTTATATTTTTCCACTCCATTTAATCTTTACCATATTTCGTATTGTTGGGCTGGTTTTGACAATTGCTTCCTTTTAAGTAGAATGCTTCATGGTTTTATATGTTACTAATACTTATAGGCAAAAATGTATAATATTACCTTAAAGTAGACTACGATAATTTAAAATTTATATTTAGAGTTTATAAACTCTAAAGTAAGCACACATACTAAGAGTTATATGTGCTTTGCAGTAATCTTGGGGTGTTTAAACTCTGCACATTAAAAACAAATGACTGGATCTTGATCAGCTCCTAGGAGACAACAAATAAACTCCTGGAATATCCTGCCTGAAAAATATTGTAAATCTGGGGTCTTGGACCACGCCAGATAATTTATGCTAACAATTTCATTTATGCTGAATGCCAGCTTTTGTTCTTCTGGGACCCTGGGACACTATATCAGTTTGACCTCTGTGGGGGTGGTGGCTAAAAACTGAGTAGTCAAGGTCAGTCATCAGGTGTTCTATGCCTATGTTACTGGTATGGTTTGGCTCTGTGTCCCCATCCAAATATCATCTTCTACCTCCCATAATTCCCATGTGTTATGGGAGAGACCCAGTGGGAGATAATTGAATCATGGGGGCAGGTCTTTCCCATGCTGTTCTTGTGATAGCAAATGAATCTCACCAGATCTGATAGTTTTAAAAAGAGGAGTTTCCCTACACAAGCTCTCTTTTCTCTTGCTGCTGCCATGTAAAAAGCACCTTTCACCTTCTACCATGATTGTGAGGCCTCCCCAGCAATGTGGAACTGTGAGTCCAATAAACCTCTTTCTTTTGTAAATTGCCCAGTCTTTGGTATGTCTTTATCAGCAACGTGAAAACAAACTAATACAATAAATTGGTACAAGTAGAGTGGGGTGCTGCTGTAAAGATACCCAAAAATGTGGAAGCAACTTTGGAACTGAGTAACAGGTGGAGTATGAAACAGTTTGGAGGCTCAGAAGAAGAAAGGAAAATGTGTGAAAGTTTGGAACTTCCTAGAGACTTGTTGAACGGCTTTGACCAAAATACTGATAATAACATGGACAACGAAATCCAGATGAGGTGGTCTCAGATGGAGATGAGGAACTTGTTGAGAACTGGAGTAATGGTGACTCTTGTTATGTTTTAGCAAAGAGACTGCTGGCATTTTGCCCTGCCCTCAATGGGTGGAACTTTGAACTTGAGATGATTCAGGGTATGTGTCAGAAGAAATTTCTAAACAGCAAAGTATTCAAGAGGTGACCTGGATGCTGTTAAAGGCATTCAGTTTTAAAAGGGAAATAGAGAATAAAAGTTCAGAAAATTTGCAGCCTGACAATATGATGGAAAAGAAAAATCCCATTTTCCGAGGATAAATCAAGCCAGCTAAAGATATTTTTTATATGTAACAAGGAGCCAAATGTTAATCACCAAGACAATGGGAAAAATATCTCTAGAGCATGTCAGAAACCTTTGCAGCAGGCCCTGCCATCACAGGCCTGGAAACCTAGGGCTAAAAACTGATTAGTTAAGGTCAGTCATCCAGGTGTTTTATACCTATGTGACTGATATGGTTTGGCTCTGTGTCCCCACCCAAATTTCATCTTATAGTTCCCATAATTCCCATGTGTTATGGGAGGGACTTGGTAGGAGATAATTGAATAATGCGAGCAGGTCCTTCATGTACTGTTTGCATGATAGCTAATGAGTTTCATAAGATCTGATAGTTTTAAAAAGGAGAGTTTTCTTGCACATGCTCTCTTCTCTCTTGACACTGCCATGTAAAAAGTGCCTTTCACCTTCCACCATGATTGTGAGGCTTCCCCAGCAATTTGGAACTGTGAATCCAATAAAACTCTTCCTTTTGTAAATTGCCCAGTCCCAGTTATGTCTTTTTTAGCAGCATGAAAATGGACTATTACAGTAACTGACCTGAAATAAAAGATTGGACAACAGGGCTCAGGTGAGCTTTCCTAGATAGCAACACTCCATGTGTTGTCAAACATCATTTCTGGGGGAATTAAGCACTCTCTGTACAACTTCACTTGGAGCACAAAACTGGACGATCACACGTGGTTTCTCTGGAATTCTGCTATATGCACATTTTCCCTTTGCTTATTTTAATATGTATCTTTTAACTATAATAACCAGCAAGCACGAGTACAATAGTTTTCTGAGTTCTGTGAGTTTTTTGAGTGAATCATTTAACCTGATGGTGGTCTTGGGGACTCCCAACATAGGCAATAAGCCAAAAAGGAGATAAAATGCAATCATAAGATTACTTAATTAATCCAGAAGAAAGGCAAAAACAAAGGATTGGGGTGGTGAAGGAAAGGAAACAAATACAGATGGAAAAAGTTAAGAACTACTGCCCAGTTGGTAAATTTAAATCTGGCCATATCAATAATCATATTACAAATAAATTGTCTAAATATCCTAGTTATAAAGTAAAGACTGTCAGATCAAATGAAAGAGAAAGCCTCAATATAGGCTGTCAGCAAGAAATCAACTTTAAATCTAAAGAAATAAATAGGTTAAAAGTGAAAAGAAGGGGAATGATACACCATGACTACACTAATCAATTAGACATCTATAGTGGTAAAATTCATCTCGGACTCAGAAATTTCTAGGAGGAATAATAACAGAGAAAACTAAAGTTATTTATTAGTGGCAAAAGGGCCAATTAATCAAGAACACATAACATTCTAATGTTCATGAACCTAATACAGAATTTAAAATACATGAAAAAAGTCTATAATTAATAGTCAGATTTCAATACCAGAAAAAGTAGACAGTAAATGTATAAGGATACAGATGATGTGAACACTACTATCAGTCAACTTTACCTAATTGATATTTATGGGACACTCTGTCCAATAACAACTAAATACATATTTTTTCAAATGCCTGCAAACATAGTTCATAGCAAAGGTGCTGTCATACCAGTAGACCAGAAAGCTACAGAATGGACTTTAATTATTTCTAAAACATATCTGACAAGGACTTTCATATAGCATGTATATAGTGAATTCTTTGAACTCACTATTAAGATAAAGCAATTTAAAAATACCAAGCAAAAGATTTGAGCTGACTTCAGCACATAAAATATAATAATGGCTAGTAAACTCAAGAACAATACTCAACACAGTCATATAAGAAATGAACAGTAAACCACAATGCAATACCATTATATACCTACTAGAGCAGCTAAAATTAAAAAGCCTCAGCAAAACAAGTGTTAGCAGTGATGTGAAACAACTGAAACTCTCATACACTGCTACTGGCAAGATAAAATGGTGCACAATTTCCAAAAAAAAAAAAAAAAAAAAATGGGCGGTTTCTTAAAATACTGCCTACACATTTACCATAATACTTGATATTCTCTTCCTATTTCTATTTACTTAAGAGAAAGAAATGCATGTATCCACACAAAAACACAAATGTTAGTAGTCGTTTCATTTACAATAGAAAAACTGAAAACAAGCCAATGTTGTCAATGGGCAAATTGACCTACCACAATGGAATACTGTTTCACATTAAAAAGTAATAGACTATTAATACTTAACAACCAAATGAATAAGTCTCAAAATACAGGAAGTAAAAGTAGCAGAACAAAAGTGTGTACATACAGTAGGATTCTGTTTACATAAACTTATAGAAAATGCAAAATGATCTATGCTGACACAAACCACACGGGTGGTTACCTAGGGATAATAACGTAGGTAGAAACAGAAGGAAGAAATTAAAATGAGGCACAAGAAAACTTTGGGGATAATGGCTATGTTAATTATCTTATTTGTGGTGATAAGTTCAATGGTTTATATATCAAATTGTATATTTTACATATTTACAGTTTATTATATGTTAATTATACCTCATAAAACAGAGGAGTCTTTGAATTCATAAAAGAAGTAGAATGCCATTCCTAGCTGATACTGGTCCACAGGTTATCTCAACCTAGATAATTCTTGTCCCCTGTTGCACAACTCACCTATAGTTAGTCAAGTCTTTCAGTTGAGTTCCAGATACCACAAAAATGTTCCTAGATGTACCCTGTCAGATTTCCTGCCCCATACAACAAAATGGTTATTTTATGCCACTCATTTTGGAATAGCTTTTATAACAATAACTAAAATACATATTAATTACTACAGTCATTACATTTCCTCTCTTGGATTGTTCTTGTTTGAGTGTGGTAACAAGGTATAATGCAATAAGTTTATATGAGTTAGGAGAGTGTTCATCCTTTAACCTTGTTAAAGTTTCAGATGAACTCTTCATTCTTGATTGCCTTGCTTATTCAAGAGAGAGATTTACATTTCATCTAAATCATTTTATCTTTTTTCTACATATTTTTTCTAAGACTATGGTCTCAATTATATTTTCCCATATTACACATTTTCACCTTTCTAGTTTCTAATCTTTTGAGATTTGAGAAAAAAAGAAGAAAAGACTCACAATTGCAGTCAGCATCCCTTTGTCTTTTGAAGTGTCTTACCACGTCTTGAATGTTCCTATTCGTAAGAGACATTTTTTGATGATTTGACTTCCTACTTATTTTCTTCTCTTTAGGCAGGCATTTGGTGTTGACTCTAAATGTGTAGTGTAGCTGTGAACAAATATCCTTGCTTATATAATTTATCTTTGAGCAACACTTAGAAACTGACTTCTTCTGAAATTTAAGTGTTTGTTTCGATGTTTAAAGTGGCAGCAAATCTTACAATAAATATAAACACTGAAACCATTGAGTTGAAAATATTAACCAGGCTTCAGCCTATTTCTTAGATCAGAAATGCTAATGAAAGGAAAATAAGCTTTTTGGCAGGTGTTTCCATGTGTACTGCTTATTTAATCTATACAACGCACTTCTTGTTATTTGTTATTATTATTACACTTTAAAGGTGAACTTCCTAAATTATACAGAGATTAAGTTATTGCCTAAGGTCATATAGCTAATAAGTGACAAAACTCAAATCTGAAACTAAAATCTTCTGATTCCCAAGACTTACTTAAAAATATTTATTTCATTTCCTGCTATGTATAAAGCAGTCAAGAAATATTAACTGTCATTTATAACATTATTATTTATGTATTGCATTATATATATTTTAGATTAATAGTGTTATTATTTCTAATTTTTCTAGAAGCCATGTTGAAGTAAGTACACCTCTCAGTAAAATGGTATTGCCATGTTAATTTGCTTTGTTTTAAAGAAATTTCCACCACTTTAGTTCTCACAGGCAATATACAATGATCCTTTTAAAAAATACAGTTCTGTAAAAAACAAGCTTTATTATTAAAATAATTTTTGTTATTAATTAAATATGAATAATTGAGTTCTATGATTAAACATTTTTATTTAAGCATAAAAATATCCCAGCCTAGATCTTCACCTTGTGTTTGCTGATGGTCTCCTTCACCATTTGCTTTATTTTTTTAAATTAAGTATATATGCTATTTTGATAATTGCTAGTAAATGTTTATATTTCGAGAGAGATTTACATTTGGTCTAAATTATTTTATCTTTTTCTATGTATTTTTTCTAAGACTGGTCTCAATTATATATAACACAAGTAAAATATATGTTTTGTACTGAATCTTTAGAAGAATATTATTTTGGCATTTGTTAATTTGCCTTTTATATGGTCTCCTAATTATGATTTTTTTAAAAAAAGTATTCATTTTATATATACATTAGCTAGACATTTGCTAAGAAATGGGATAAATTAAAACCAGCCTCTGCCAAGAAACAATATGAGTTGAACGTTTCATGTCACCCATAGTTTCAGTTTGGGCAATAGTAAATTTTGTATCTCAGATGTATACTTGGAGAGGACATTGATGTACATGGCTCCTGATCAAAATTCCAGGTCCTAATTGACAATATCATTAATTGAGTTGTCTGTTGAGCTGAGGTGGTGCCTATTTCTTTGGCAAATGTTAATTTTTTCTGGGAAATTAGAATATTACATGCAATCTAAAGTTCTTTCAGCTCCATATCCATCAAAATGGTTTTACCACAATCTTTCCCTCTTTCTATTTCCTTTGAAGAGTTTCACATTGCATTGGAGAATTATAACTCCAAATTTCACTGTGCTGTTAGAGGGTTGGGTACTAATAGCTGGTATCTCAAAAGAATGTAGAGTGAAAAGTTTGAGAGAGAGTATTTGATAAATACTGTTTCAGGAGATAGTTATATTTCAGTGTGTGGTTGGGTGCCACTAAATTGGTCAATAGAGAGTACTGGCAGCAGGGGGTTTTAAAGGCAAAATGAGTGGGTGAGTTAAATTTTCTTTTCTGATTTTCTACTTTTCATGCTACTTTGGTTCTGAGAATAAAGGGCAGGTAGTCAATGAGTAAGTTTCGCTATGCTAACTTATGCTTCAAACAATTAGAGAAAATGCCCTCCATTATTTGAATATAATCTTTCTATCTCTGTCTCTCTCTCATCCTAATGTTTTCACTATATATAACTTCTGAAAAGTTTTGAGTAACTTTAAAAAAATTGTTTACTGTCAGGTTAATTTCAAATTCAACAGATTATATAACTGAAAGATAATTATAGCAAATAGGGTTACCCATATAGATATATATGTCTTATTTGTTTTACATTATGTAATTTCATTTTCTATGAAATGAATTGTTAGTAGAGACGGAGGTTTCACCGTGTTAGCCAGGATGGTCTCGATCTCCCGACCTCGTGATCTGCCCGCCTCGGCCTCCCAAAGTGCTGGGATTACAGGCGTGAGCCACCGCGCCCGGCCCATTTTTTCTTGTTTTTCAAATTCCTCTGGGTGTAATTTTAGGTTGTTAATTGAGATCTTTGTAGCTTTTTAATGTAGCCATTTAGTGCTATAAAGTTTCCTCTTAGCAATGCTTTAGCTGTGTCTCAGAGTCTGTTATGTTGTATCTTTGTTTTCAATAGTCTCAAATAATTTCTTGATTTCTGCCTCAATTTTATTGTTTAACCAAAAGTCATTCAGGAGTAGGCTGTTTAATTTACATACAATGGTATGGTTTTGAGAGATCTTCTTGGTATTAATTTCTATTTTTATTTTACTATGGTCCAAAAGTGTGGTTAATAGTAAGTTTTTTTTTTAATTTGTTGAGATTTGGTATATGGTCTATCTTAGAGAATTTTCCATTGACAGATGAGAAGAACCTATATTCTGCAGTTGTTGGGTGGAGTTTTCTGTAGATTTCTGTTAGGTCCATTTGGTCAAGTGTTGTGTTTAGGTCCGAATACCTTTGTTAGTTTTCTGCCTTGATAATATAACACTGTCAGTGGAGTGTTATAGTCTCTTACTGTTATTGTGTCATTATATAACTGTCTTCACGGGGCTCTGAGAACTTGTATGTATCTGAGTGCTCCAGTATTTAGAACAGTTAAATCTTCTTGTTGAATTGAACCTGTTATCATTATGTAATGCCCTTCTTTTTGCTTTTTGATCATCATTGGTTTAAAGTCTCTTTTGTCCGAAATAAGAATGGCAATCCCTGCTCTTTTCGGCTTGCCATTTTCTTGTGGATCTTTCCTTATCCCCTTACTTTGAGCGTATGAATGTCCTTGCATATGGGACGGGTCTTTTAAAGACAGCATATAGTCAGGTCTTGCTTATTTATCCAACTTGCCACTCTGTGCCTTATAAGGCATTTAGCCTATTTATGTTCAAGGTTAATATTTATATATGAGAATTTGATCCTCTCATCCTATTGTTAACTATAGGATTATAGTTAACTATTGTTAACTATTGTTGTTATGTAGACTTGATTGTACAGTTGCTTTATAGTGTGACTGGGCTATGTACTTGAGTATGTTTTTGTGGTAACAGGTAACAGTTTTTCATTTCCATGTTTAGCACCCCCTTAAGTACCTCTTGTAGGGAAGATCTGGTGGTAATGAACTCCCTCAGTGTTTGCTTCTCTGAAAATAATTTTATTTCTCCTTTGCTTATGAAAGTTAGTACGGATGGATGTGAAATATTGGTTGGAATTTCTCTTCTTTAAGGATGCTGCATATAGGCACCCAATCTCTTCTGGTTTGTAAGTTTTCCACTAAAAGGTCCAGTGGTAGCCTAATAATGTTCCTTTGTATGTGACCTATTCCTACTCTCTAGTTGCCTTTAGTATTTTTTTCTTTCATGTTTACCTTGGATAATCTGATAACTATGTGGCTTTGTGGTTATTGTCTAATGTAGTGTCTCACTGGATGTGTCTGAATTTCCTGAGGTTTGCATGTCAGCCTCTTTAGAGGAGTTCAGGAAATTTTCATGGACAATATCCTTAAATATGCTTTCCAAGTTGCTTATTTTCTCTCACTTCATTTCTGGGATGCTAATGAGTTATAGGTTTGGTGTCTTTCCATAATCTTATCTTTCTTTGAGGTTTTGTTCAATTTTTTTTTTTTTGTTTTGTTTTTTTCTGAGACGGAGTCTTGGTGTGTTGCCCAGGCTGGAGTGCAGTGGCCCAATCTTGGCTCACTGCAAGCTCTGCCTTCCCAGGTTCACGCCATTCTCCTGCCTCAGCCTCCCAAGTAGCTGGGACTACAGGTGCCCACCACCACGCTAGGCTAATTTTTTGTATTTTTAGTAGAGATGGGGTTTCACCGTGTTAGCCAGGTCTCGAACTCCTGACCTTGTGGTCCGCCCATCTCGGCCTCCCAAAGTGCTGGGATTACAGGCATGAGCCACTGCACCCGGCCAATTTTGTTCAATTTTTAAAGTTTTTTTTCTTTATTTTTGTCTAATTGAGTTGATTTCAATAACTGGTCTTCGAGCACTGAGATTCTTTCTTCAGCTTGATTTGTCTTGCTGTGTATACTTCTAGTTGTGTTATGAAATCCTTATAGTGAGTTTTTCAACTATAGAAAATAAATTTGGTTGTTTAAGAAACAACCAAATGGCTATTAAAATGGCTATTTTGTCTTTAGCTCTTGCATCATTTTACTGGATTCCTTAGAATCCTTGAATTAGGTTTCAACTTTCTCTTTAATCTCAATGATCTTTGTTGCCATACAGTTACTGAATTCTATGTCTTTCATTTCAGATATTTCAATTGCTGGGCATCTAGTGTGGGAATTTACAGGTAAGAAGACACTCTGACTTTTAGAGTTGTCAGAGTTTGTGTGCTGGTTCTTTCTCATCTGTGTGGCCTGATGTTCCATTAACATTTGAAGTTGCTCTCCTCTGTGTGGGGCTTTTTCCTTTTGTATTATTTGATGCCTTTGAGGTTTTGACTGTGGTATAACTTGGGTCTAGTTGATTGTCTTCATTTCCAGATTATTTTAGGGGGCCAAGGCTCAGCTCATCACTCCTGTGCTGTGTGCTCTATCCCTGCAGGGCTGGAAGTCTGTGGTTCTTTTCTTTGGCCTCTCAAGGTTAAGCATCTGTTGCACTGGAAGGGCCGAGGTGTTCTCAGTCCACTGGCAATAGCATTGACAGAGGTGGGTTGCTGGCAAACACACTTTGGCAGAATGGTGGTGTGGTAACTGATATCTCACATATGAATGTGTGCTGGCAGCTGGGAGGTGGTGGGTCCCACACATGTGTGTGCCAGCTGTGGGTCCTGTTTGCATATGCCCACTGGGGCAGTAACAGTCCTACACATGCATGAGCACTGGTGGTGGGTGGGGGTGGAGTCAGCACCTCAGGAGGAGACTGTAGGTGGTGCATGCCTGGGGGACGCATCACAGAATCTCTCTATTAGGCGTGGTCTGCTTGTAAAAGAGTTACAGTTGTGGCTGCTGGCAAGTGGCTTGGCTGAGCAGCCAAGGATATGCTACAAGCAGGTGTGGCCAGTCAGTGACCCTGGAACAGACTGGCAGACAGGAGTGCTCAGATCCGACTGGCCCCATGGCATGAACAAAATATTCCTGCTCTGTTCAGATCCAGAAACCAACAAAAGCTAAAGCCGCTGATATACTTTGGATATTTGTCCCCACCCAAATCTCATGTTGAATTATAATCCCCAGTGCTGGAGGCGAGGCCTGGTGGGAAATGTTTGGGTCACAAGGGTGGATTCCTCACGATTTAGTGCTGTCCTCATGATAGTGAGTTCACATGAGATCTGCTTGTTGTAAAGTGGGACACCTCCTGTTCCACCATCTCCTGCTCCTTCTCCTGTCATGTGATGTGCCTGCTCCTGCTTCACCTTCTGCCATGAGAAAAAGCTCCCTGAAGCCTCCCCAGAAACTGAGGGGATGCAGGTGTCATGCTCCTGCTTCCTGTACAGCTTGAAGAACTGTGGTGAGCCAATTAAACCTTTTTACTTTATAAATTACCCGGTCTCAGGTATATCTTTATAACAATGCAAGAATGGCCAAGTACAGCCACCTGGATGAGTATGATGAGCCTTGTGGGATGGGCACACATGTCCATGCTCCACTGCAGTTATCCCCTCTATGCTCTGTGCAGGCTGAAGTTCTGTCTTTACCAAGTCTCTGGACAATTCTCCCTACCAGTTCAAGTGCCTGTGGGGGTCTCAAAGTTTCCTACAGCTAATACCCTGGAGGTCGATGATGTGAGTAGGTCACTCCATGCCTCTTTTACTCCCCTCTTCCCACTCAGGGCCAGGAATGAGTCCTGGTGCTCAGCAACCCTGTTCAGGATTCCCAGCTTCCTCCCATTTCAGCCCAAAGTCTGCATCCTCCCTCCGCCCACTCCCAATGCCTTCTTGCCAAAGATTTTAATCAAAAATTTGAATAGATATGTAAATTAGACAAATAGTTAAATAGAAACTGTAAAAGTTCCTATGCTTCCATTATTTATATTTCTGGGTTGCATTCCCACTTGGAAAGTGAACTCATACTTTATCTCATTTTATCATTGCACAGCCTAGTTAGCTTGATTAGTGTTTTTCATTCTGCTTGTAAATGCTCTGTGGTAGGAATACAGATTGCCTTATTTATTGCCCTTACTTATTGCCCTCACAAGCAATATTAGTTCTTCTGCTGCATAAGTGGATATTTAGTGATGGTGTCTAGCAAGTCAGAGGATAAGTAGAGTGTAAGCACTGAACAACTGTGTTTCATTCCCAAAGTACCTCTTAGAGCAAAAATAGTCATTAAGTATTCAATATTTATTGTGGAAAAAAAGCATTTCGTTTTCATAGTCATTTTAATCTCTGGACACATTCAATAATTAAAGTGGTAAAATATAATAATATGAGAAAAATAATCTATTTTACTTCAAGATTTAGAACTATAAATCAGAAATTCTGCTTTGCATAACAGATTTTTTAAAAGTGACATTTTGATTTTCCAAGTAGGTCATTTCTAAAACATTAACAATTTAAATGATTTCATTATAGTGAAAGAGATTATTAAAGATTAATTTCGAAAACCTGATATTGACATAAATACTAAGAATATTTGCATTAGTTCTTGGATGGTAATAATGTAGCACTAAAATATAGTTAGGCTCCTTGTAAAATTGCATTTGTCGATATATTTTGAGTATGTGGTGCAAATCACAGCATTGAAAGTTTTAAGTTTTCAAAGGAACACAAGTCTGCAAACAGCTTTCTTTTTGGAAAAACATAAGATAAAAAAGTAAAAGAAATCTGAGAAGTAAATGCTTGCCAAATTTGTAATAAATATAATACTATACACATTACAAAGCAACTGATCAGAAATTGTGTAGGATGAGATAAAACACTTCTTTGGAAATCTTGGGCATATAGATTTGAAGTCACATAATGGGAGAATTTTAGTAGGCACAGATTTTAAAGCCTGAGTGAAAAACTGGATGCCCAAGAGGAAAATTGATAGGAAGCAGTAAGAACAGTAGAACCAGTGAGCCAACAGTTTCAAATGCTCTGGAAAGTCAAGTAAAATAGGAGCAGAGAAGTGTTTTATCAACAAAGCAGTGTTATGGTGTTTGGTGATTTTAATTCCAGTTATTGTAGTTTCAAGTCGTAAAACAAAGATTTCATACTTCTTTAACAGTTTACAGTCTATTGTTGACATTTTAAATTTTCTTTTTTTTATCATGCTTACTTAATTATAGTTACTCTAAAGTCTGAATAGGGTGATTGAATTATCTGGATTCTATCCATGTCTATTCCCATCGTCTATTTTTCCGTTAGGTAGTTTTGGCTTATTTCATCTCTGGTTACTTTTGTGGTTCATCTTTTTAAATGTTTGTGTTTTGAAATAATTTTTGATAAATAGAATAATTCCAAATTTAGTACAGAGAAATCCTATACACTTTTCATCCAGCTTTCTCAAATGTTAATAGCTTACATAAACACAGTACATTTATCAAAACTAAAAAGTAAGCATTGGTAAATACTGTTAATTAATTATGCATATTATGCAGAATTCTCCAGTCTTTCCATTGACTTCTTCCACAAAATACATTCCGTAAAATCACATTGAATTCAGTTGTGATATCTATTCGGCTTTCTCCTATCTGTGAGAGTTTCTCATTCTGCTTTTACTTCGATAATTTTGAAGAATAGTGGTCCAATTTTGTAGAATGCCTCTCATTTGAGTTTGTCTGATGTTTTCTTATGATTAGAATAATAACACAAAGGCGATATGCCCTTCTCATCACATCATATCAGAGGACACATTTCAACAAGACTTTTCACTAGTGATGTTAAACTTCATAGGTTAAGATGTGGTGTCATCCAGATTTTTCTACTCTAAAGTTACTATTTTTCACTTTTACCACTGTATTGTTAGAACAATTCACTAAGTCCAGCCAACATTTAAAAAGAAGAAATTTATGGTTCAACTTTAGTGGGATTAATAAATTTTTAAATACATGATAAACTACCACAGCAATTAATAGATTTTGAGAAAGGTTATTCAGAGATATGCAAATATTGTGTTTCTCCTTAATATTAGGCTTCCATTTTATTATGTATAAATAGATGTTACTTGCAGTAATCATTACTGTGGTATACTAATGGTGATTTTCTATGACTTCATTCTTTCAACAATTTTTGTTTGGAATTTTTCTGTAATGAAGATTTAAACTTTTTTTCATTTTCTTTATTCAATCATATATCTATATTAATTTGAATTCATATTCACGAATATATGGATATTTATTTTATTCTTTGAGATATAATAAAAATTATGGCTATTTATTTTATTGTTCTGATAGTTTTGGCTTTGGCCATTAGTAGTTCTTAGAGGTTGGATCCTTTGTTCTTTTGACATGCCATAAGTCCTTTTACGTTTATTTTTCTGTTTGATAACCTCCTTACTTTATTACACTGCAAAATGTTCCTGGCCCATCTTGGCTGTTCCTTTTCCTGTTATTTGAATCAGTAATTTCTTCAAGGAATCTTGGTACTTTTTATTAGAGAATAGCATTGAGAAACCAAGATCTGAGACCTAGGATTATTTCTCCTGAGTAGGATGTCACTGCTTGTTTTTGGTTCTTAAGGCAAAGAACTAGTAAATATATATATACAAACATACACTTACATACAAATATCCATATTTATTTCAACATTTGTCTATTATATATCTATTAAAATGAAATTAGTTTATTCTAATATTTTGAGAATTCTCGCATATATTTCATGAAGTTTATTGGTCTGTAGTTTTTTTCTAGTGCATTTATTTGCTTTTTATGCTAGGGTAACTTCTACTCTGTATCCTAGAAGATACTGTTAAAAATTTTATTATTTATTTCTTATTTAGAAGAATTTGGCAGTGCAGTCATTTGGGACTAGAATTATTATTTTTTATTTTCTCAAGCAAAAAATTCAATTTCTTTAATAGATTCAAAAGTAGTCAGGTTATTTACTTCTTCAGTGAATGCTGGTACTTTGCATTTATAGAGGAATTGGTTTATTGTAGCTAAATTGTCAAGTTCATGTGTATCGAATTGTTGCTAGTATTTCTTTATCATTTTTTTAATGTCTATGAGATCAGTAGTGATATAACTTCTTTCATCCCGATGTTCGCATTTTTGTCTTATTCCTTTCTTTTTCTTTGGATTACTTTGACTAAATGTTATGAATGACAATGTTCTTTTCAAAGATCCAGATGTTGCTTTTAATGATTTACTGTATTGTTTTTGGTTTTATTTTTATTGATTTCTGTGCTAACTGCTCTTATTTTCCTCCTGCTTTCTTTGGGTTTAATTTGCTTTTCCTTCAGATTTGTTATATTTTTCTAACATAAGTATTTTCATGCAGTAAATTTCACTCAAATCTCTGCTTCAGTTGCATATCAGAAACTTGATATTGGGTTTTCATTTATATTTGGTTAAAATAATTTTAATTTAATTTGAATCTTCCCACTTGGTCCGTGGACTACTTAAAAGTGTATTGTTTAATTTTCTATTATTTGGGAATTTCTATCTATGCTTCTGTTACTGATTTATAGTTAATAAAACTATGGTCTAAGAACATTCTTTGCACTATTTATATATTTTAAAACTTGTTCAGGTTATTTTATGGCCTACACTATGGTCTATCTTGGTAATTTTATATAGTCATGAAAAGAATGTGCAGTTTACTGTTTTTCATTGGAATATTCTCTGATTATTTTTGTTTGAATATTCAGACTAATAGTATAAAAATTACCTATATAATTTGATGCCTGAAAATGATATAATATTCTCCAGAGAGGCATTATATTTGTTTCTGGCTGGCATTGAATAGTAGCTAATCCTGGACCCCTAGACCTGGACTAGAATCAAAGGGTACTTAACCTGAGGTTTATACATACGATTTGGAAAATGCCTGAACATGAATAGAAAAAAAAAAGACATTTTTTTTCACTTATATCTAACAAAATTTAGCACTTTTAAAATTATGGTTGCCTTCTCCAAATCACCGTGGTATTATCCATAACTAACTGCTTTGTCGCCAATAGAAATAGCAGATATTTTAATATCACAATACATATGTTGCAGATATCTGAACATATTGTTTATATTCATTACTACTTTGAAATTCATTAATAAAGAAGTATGCAAATTTTTTGTATTTTTCTTTCTTTGAGGTAAACAGCCTCAAAACCAGTCTCCTGATATCTGGCCTAGCTATCCTTTTCAACATTTTAATCTCTGTACTACTGTCACAGTAAATTATAAGACATTAAATGAATAATGGGATTCTTTTACTTAAAATAATTCCATATTTCCCAAGTGATTTATTATTTACTTCGAATTTCTCAGCAGACAACAAAAGAGCCTATTGAAGTAAATTAAAGAAAAAAAAAACTTTTTAGTTTTTATGTTAAAATGTTTTCCAACACTGTGTCTGTGTTTTCTTTCCCAAAGCAACCACAGGGTTACAAATCTCTCAGTCTGGAACACTCTCCCTAACCTTTTCCTACTAATGCTATTACATTTATATAATTCTATTAGCTTATTCAAATATCAATTAATTTTGAAAGTACTTCCACAGTGTGATTTTTCTACCCCATCCATCTGTGCTCCTGAAACGGGAAATTTGCCTTGACCCCTTTATGGGTCTTGCCACAGGAGTGACTACTTTCCTCACCTTGCAGCTCTCAACCCCTTGTGTGAGGAGAACACAGGGGCAAGTGAGTGCAAGAGTTGTGATGAGCCCTTCTGGGCACTGGCAGGAGCAGAACTCTGTGCACTCCGGCGGCAGCATCTAGTGGGTTACCCGCCACCTTTGGAGTCCCAGAGGACATGTGTTACAGTGCTCTTTTAGCTTTGCACTCTGTGGACAGTTAAGTGTTAAATAGCTCATGTCTGCACCTGTAGCTCCCGAGAGCTCTTGTTTGGCGTCCAGGAAGAATCAGATCACATGAACAAATTGAGCGGTGGTGAATACGGAGGATTTTATTGCCAACGAAAGTGGCTTTTCGCAACCTACTCATCCGACAAAGGGCTAATATCCAGAATCTACAATGAACTCAAACAAATTTACAAGAAAAAAACAACCCCATCAAAAAGTGGGCAAAGGACATGAACAGACACTTCTCAAAAGAAGACATTTATGCAGCCAAAAAACACATGAAAAAATGCTCACCATCACTGGCCATCAGAGAAATGCAAATCAAAACCACAGTGAGATACCATCTCACACCAGTTAGAATGGTAATCATTAAAAAGTCAGGAAACAACAGGTGCTGGAAAGGATGTGGAGAAACAGGAACACTTTTACACTGTTGGTGGGACTGTAAACTAGTTCAACCATTGTGGAAGTCAGTGTGGTGATTCCTCAGGGATCTAGAACTAGAAATACCATTTGACCCAGCCATCCCATTACTTGGTATATACCCAAAGGACTATAAATCATGCTGCTATAAAGACACATGCACACGTATGTTTATTGCGGCATTATTCACAATAGCAAAGACTTGGAACCAACCCAAATGTCCAACAATGATAGACTGGATTAAGAAAATGTGGCACATATACACCATGGAATACTATGCAGCCATAAAAATGATGAGTTCATGTCCTTTGTAGGGACATGGATGAAATTGGAAATCATCATTCTCAGTAAACTATCGCAAGAACAAAAAACCAAACACCGCATTTTCTCACTCATAGGTGGGAATTGAACAATGAGAACACATGGACACAGGAAGGGGAACATCACACTCTGGGGACTGTTGTGGGGTAGGGGGAGGGGGGAGGGATAGCATTGGGAGATATACCTAATGCTAGATGATGAGTTGGTGGGTGCAGCGCACCAGCATGGCACATGTATATGTATGTAACTAACCTGCACATTGTGCACATGTACCCTAAAGCTTAAAGTATAATAATAATAAATAAAATTAAAAAAAAAGGAAAGAAAGTGGCTTTCAGTGGGAAGGGGAGCTGGAAAGGAGAGTCTGTCCCCGGCTGAGCTCTTCTCCAAAGTCCCACCATCAAGCCATCCCTCTGAAGTCAAGCTGCTTCTCTCCTACATTTGGCTGCTTCTCTTCTGTCCTTTACTGCTCTGCCAGTGGAGTCTGGGGTTTTTATGGGTACAGGATGGGGGCGGGCAGGCCAAAAAGGCAACAGTCAAGCCAGAAAACAGGGATAGCAAGTTCTCACTTTGGGCCACAGTTCCAGGCTTGAGGGTGGAGCCCTTACCTGGAACCCCACCCTTTTCTAGTTAGTATTTTCCTGCCTTCTGTCCTTATCACTCCTATATATACTTCTTAAAGTTTCCATATCACACTGTATTGAAATTAATACTCTATCTGTCTTGCTTTATAAAATAATAACAACCTATACTCTTTTCATTTTCCTTTTATTGAAGTTACCCTATTTAATCAATATGTATTAGATCTTTGATATATATTTGTTGAATGAGTAAATGAATGACCATCAGAACCTCAAGGAACAGTAGATATTGAGCGGAGGTGGAGCGTTGAAAAAGATAACCAATATGAAAAATGTTGGGGAAAAAATGTATGTTAGTTGTGTATTAGTGAGCAGACTAAATCAACTGGAACAAAAATTATTTTTTTAATAACCTAAGAGATGTCATAAAGGTAAATATAGATATCAGATATATGAAGTACCATATAAAAATATATGTATTTTTTTACTTGGTGAATGGAAAGCTAGTAAATATTTCCGAGAAAATATGAAACAATGAAATACAAAGCGTTTTTAAAAGTAAATTTGGTAGCAGTTTACTAAATAAATTATAATTTAGGAGGCTATTTAAATTACACCAGTTATTTACAATAGTGAATTGCCAACTGTAGATGAATAAAGTCTAATAAAAATGTGAAGAGAGGGATATTTGTTAGAGATATAATGTAATTAATTTCAATTTTATTAATTCAAGTTTTCTATTTTCTTCTTTTTATTTTCATTGTCAATGAAATTTGAACATAGAAAAGTTGTGTACTGCTCAAGAATTACGATGAGATTTATTAGATAATTGCATTAATTTACTGAAGTTGCTGGGATAAATTACAGTAAATTTAGTGGCTTAACATAACACAAATTTATCTTATGGTTCTGTGGATCAGATGTCTGACATGGATCTCACTGGACTAGTATTAAGATGTCCGCATTCCTTTCTGAAAGGAGGCTTTAGGATCTGTTTCCTTGTCTTTTTCTGGTTCTAGAGGCCTCCCGTTTTTTTTCGTTGCTTGCCCTCTTCCTTCCATCTTCAAAGTCAGCAATATCAGGACACATCCTTCCCATGCAGCCATGGCTCTCCCTCTTGATTCCCTCTTCTACTTTTAAGTTTCCTTGTAATTATATGGGCCCACCTGGATAATTAAGGATAATCTATGTACCTTAACATCAGTTGATTAGCAAATTTAATTCCATCTGTGACTTTAATTTCCCTTTGCCATCTAACCTAACATATTCAAGATTCTGGGCATTAAAAGGGTAAGATCTTTTCCTCAGAAATTTTTTCAGTCTAAACGGAGGAATAGATGCATAAACATCTTTGAGGGGAAGAATTATTCTGCCTACTGAAATATTAATAAATGATTCAGGCATTTGTCTTTTTCATGTACTAAATGCAAGAATAAAAGCTGGAAATATATCTGAAGAGTATACTTTGATGTGGCAACAGCATATGGATGAAAGATTATATTATACTTATAAAATCATACAATATTGACTAATTTTTAAGTACTAAAAACAGTTTTTTTCCACTTAGAAAAACTATTCAAAATAAAAGTTTTACTTTTAATTTTTAAACTTAGTAATATATCCGTATTTCTTTTATACTTATCTTTATACGTAAGCCGGTAAAGTGACTATTTTCAATATAATAACTACAATAAGATCTGCATTTTCAGATACCATCTACAAGTAGTATTTTCATCATGTATTATTCTAAACAATCTGGAAAAAGTATCCAAAAGTATATGCACCATTTAAAATTATTGATTAGATGTACTTAATGTTATTGTCTATGTTTCATCTGAGTACATTTTGGAGCCTGTAAAAGAATTCTGAGATTGATTGAACATTCAATATATCTATTCCTTTATTATAATCTATTACTAATGAATTTTTATCAATCTCTAACAATAACAATGCTAACAAAATTTTTGGGGGACAATCGTAGGGAGTTATTGAAGTGAGGAAATTTTTAAATTAATTTGTCTATTTCAACCTTCCAGTTTTAACAATCTAGTTTGTGGTTTTTCAAAGGTTACTAAATCCAAATGGGAAAGTCTTATTAATTTAACTACAATCCACTGAGGCATCTTACTTTCATCTGATGCATTAATATCAAATGTTAATATTATTTCTATGTTATTATGTCAGGCTGAATTACATTATTATGTCCAGATACAAGTATGTATATTTTGGGGAGGTTAAATTATACAGTGTTATAAATTTTTGTGAAATGAGATACATATAACTCTGAATCTCCTTTAAGATGTATATTACTGAGCTGTTGCTATGTATAAATATAGTTTTTGAGATTCTTTATTGAATAATCTGGAATTGATAAGTAACCTGTAATTGATGTCAACTGTAATCTCAGTGGCTTTCAAAGCAAAGGTTTATTTTTCTCTATCATTACATGTAAACTGCAAGTTTGCTGTGCTTCTGCACTATGTCTTTTCAATGGGATTAACGGTATTGGGGACATGCTCTCTTTATAGCATATGGAAAAATTTAACTAAATTACTAAAATATATAATCACTATTAAAGGTTCTCTTCAGAATTGCCATATATTACTTCCACTCAGATTTTCTTACCCCAAACAAATTTATGTGGCCAAGTCTAACAACAGAAAAGAGAATTGTACTCCTCCCACAAGAAAGCCCTATGATGGCAATGGTCAGGGATGTGCAGTCTTCTTACAGGGACTCAGCATGTAAATAATAAATAATTAAGATACAAAACAGCACAGGTGTCTTTCTAGCGCCCAAATATTTTCTTTCTACCTATCAGCAAGAAAAATGTACACTCCATAAAGAATGCATTCCAAAATTCCCACCCAAGTAATGTTACACCTGTGTGAGATGTTTTGCTAGCCTCAGAGACGAATAGTATGTTTAATGTATAAAAAGCATTTGATATTATCTAGTCAATCCCATTTGTTTTACAGATTAAAAATCAGAGGTCTGTAATGTCCGAAAGTTAGTGAATAGTATTAGAAAATAGGTCCCTATCCTCCTAGTTTATTTTTCTTCTTTCACATTAAACTAGGCAATATTGGGAACAGAAAAATTCTTAATGTCAGATCTTTACCCTCAGAACGCTTTTCAGCCTAAACAGACAGGAATAGGCATATACGAATAGATTTTATGGTCAGTGTGGTGGCTCATGCCTGTAATCCCAGCATTTTGGGAGGTTGAGGCAGGTGGATCACTTGAGATCAGGAGTTTGAGAACAGCCTGGCCAACATGGTAAAACCCTGTCTCTACTAAAAATACAAAAATTAGCCTGACATGGTGGCCAATGCCTGTAATCCCAGGTACTCGGATGCTGAGGCTTAAGAATCACTTGAACCCAGGAGGTGGAAGTTGCCGTGAGCCAAGATCACGCTACTGCACTCCAGCCTGGACGACAGAGTCATACTCTGTCTCAAAACAAAAACAAAAACAAACAAACAAACAAAAACACATTTAGATGAATAGATTTTATATGAACATTAAAACAATTTAACATTCCACAAGAAAATAGAAATGACATTTATGGGAGCCTTTGACAGTAAGGAATCAGCTTTATGTATTTCCAATTAATTCAACTACATAAGCTTGGTAGACCTGGAAAGAAATGGTTAAACAGCTGCCTGGTAAGTCTTTTCTCTGACAACAAGGGTATTTGAGAATTTGACCCTTAGTTTAAATCTTACAAAACGTATTTAAGTGATATATAGGAATATACCAGATACAAAATAAAGACCATCCTGTTGAGTTTGCCATGTAGCCATCTGGTTGTTGAGATTGTTTATTAACCACCAGAAATTAATGAATAATGAACAATTGATGGGATGGCCCTTCACTAGCGAGTGGGGGCTAGTCATGTACTTCTGATGGGACTATCTAATCAGAGGGTATGAAGCTTGAAGGGATGTCAAAAATGATTATTTCTTAAGCTGAGATGTTCCGCATCCACTTGGCTCCAATTATCTTGATCACTTGTGTTTCATAGCTGAGTCATGAGGACGTTCAGAAGCTTCTCTGAAAGTCATGAGACCTCCGCTCTTCTGTTGATTGTGCTGTATTCGTTGTCCTCTATTATTAAAGCTACATAAACTTGGTGCTGAGTAAAGCCTATTGTGTTTCAGAAGTGTGATCATCTTTTCAAGCCCACAGCTATTACTGCTGGTAGAGAATAGTAGATATTTCAGCATATATTTTGAAGGCAACTTTATGTGTATTTCTGGCTTTTTCCTTCAAATATATCTGTTTGAGGTATTCACTGGATAACAGAAATCATTAAAGTCACACAGGAAGTTTAAAATTATGCAACATTTAGTTCACATTTCAGCTAATTTACTTACCAGATAAATTAGAGAAGTCACTTAGCCTAGTTACTCAATGAATTAATTTTTAAAATATTATTTTTATAGTTCTTAGTGAATTGAGATTATATATTTTATTTTCCTGGTACGTGCAGATGCTCCTCAATGGTATCTGTTATAAATTGGCTTCAATTATCTGTAATTTTAAAACAAAACTATGTTCACATCTCTGTATAAATATTTTTTCTATTTTGCATTTCATGGACTGGGTTTGGGCTAATCTAAGTAATCACTTAGAGTGGACAAAGCCCTAGGTAGTATGTAATTAATGTACCTCATATTGAGGAAAACTGACTCAAAAACAAATAAAATATATTTTCATGAAAACATATTATATCTTTAGAAAAATATATAATTAACTTTAAAGAATTTACATATCTAAATAGTATTATGCAATAACTTTGTAAAACCTTCATTATTCAGATATGTGTATCCCTTAAATTAATTCTTACTGTGAACAGCTTTGTTACTTTTGTTATGTTAGTAAATGTGATTATTTATTTCATAAAATGGAAAATGTATTACAATTATCTCAGGATTATTTTTACTTTTGCATATTCCCTCACATAATTATGACTAAAGATTTAACATTATTTAGAATGAACATTTTATTATGGTTGCTGCAGGCTTAAAGTAATCCTATCACAAAAAAAAGAAGACATAATTCTTTGTAGATTTGGCCTTGGAGGGAGGTTGAGAATTAATATACAACATCTGTGAGGCACTCTGCGCTCTTTGAAGTAAGAGTTGTAGTATAATGTAATATCACAGAAATCTAAGCGATTATGAAAGAGCAATGTATTAAAGACAGTTTATCCTTCAAGAGATTAATCGTTGACAGAGCCACAGGCAACATCTAAGATGCTGGCACCACTGTCAATTATGCTCCTGAACAGACAGATGTAATAGCTACGCAACTACTTGCTATATGCTACTTTTTACACTTTATGACTCTGATGCTGGTAGAGAAAAAGAGAAAAAAAATGGTACAAATAAATCAGAAACATACATGCCACCTTCTTTAGTCTTTTAAATCTCTTGTTCATTTTAGACATTTCGCAAACTAGAAAAGATGTAACCAGACACTTTAAATTCAAAAATTGTATGATGGCTTAAGGTTACAGAATATTTTCTGAACCCCTATACTTTACACATGAATTCTTCCATAAATAATTTTTATCTCAGAAAAGAGCCTCAATATAAAGCTCCAATATAAATAAAACAGAGAAATTATCTTCCACTTTAAAAGTTTATTATAAAATTTTATATTAGTGTACCTGGTTTGACATTGAAACAAATGCTTATATTTTAAGAACTTTATTATATATACAGTTGTAACTGATATTAGAATTTATAGTATATAATAAAAGGCAATACACATAGAAGGTAGCATTTTTAATATATATTTTATCTAAAATTTACTGTAAGTACTTGATTATTAAAACATTTTTCCTCTTTGTGATGCAAAGATAGTGTCAATTCTGTAATTTTTGTTTTGCTAGTACTCTAATATGTTATTTAAAGATGTTGTAATGAGTAAAAGAACAAATTTACACATAAAGGGTAAACTTTAAAAATCATAAATATTCAAAAATATCTCTATCAGCACAAAATTAAATGCCAATTAGTATACAGATTATAATACAAATATATTGGTAATTTAATATAAATAAATAAATAATAAAAAGATGATGGTATTTGGAGGCCAGAATGTCTTACTCTACATCAACATGATTTATTACCATAACATTATTCAATAAAATAAGTCATCTACTATGTATAAGGCTTTAAAGCTTTATATAGTTGCTTTAAGTAACAAAAAAAATTTATTATATAATCCCTACTTTTTCTATGTTAAAGCTGCTTGAAGAAATGATATGGATTCCTAAAACTTTAATAACAGAAATATGTATACTTTGCATACACATTTGTGTAATTTTATGAATATTTATCAGTTTTTAAATTTTCATAAGAGCCTTATATATAGTTAAGATTATCCTGCTTTACTGAACACTGAAATTTGGATCTATTTGTTAGGGCAATTTTACCTACTGAAATACATACAACTTAGAGCCTTAAAGTGTTAATTTAAAGGATGTTCATTTTTTGCTTATGCTGTTTTGATAGCAGCTTGGAGGATGGGATATGAGAGGATGTTTTCTGGTTCACAACGACATTTCAGAATGCAGTTTTACAGAGTCTCTGCTGCTTTCAATATGTGGCTTCTGGATTTATCCTGTAAGTTAACATCTAACCAGCAGATAGGATAAAGAAGGTAATGGAGGACAATTCATGGGAAGATTCTATTAGCCAGAACTGGAAGAGGTGTACATTACTATTGCACATATTTCTTTGGTCAAAACTTAGTCACATAAATGTAATTAACTACAAAAGATGCTAGAACATATGTAGTCTAACTTTATGCCAAGAAGTAAGCAAAATAAATTTTTGAAGCCAAATATCCTACATTGCAGAAATAGTGACTCACTCAATGACATATAGTTAATAGAGACATTCAGAACCCGTAACTGTCTTCTGATCCAGTGAAAAGTGCTGCATCCACATCTTAATAATTTGTTATTTGGTCATTTTAGTGCTTTCTAACTCATAAAAATTCACTTTCATTATTCTGTTTGAACCATACAACCATTCCATGTGAAAGTGATATTCTCATAGAAATTTTTATTGTAAAGTATTACTAACACAAATTGTACAGGCACACAGGATTGGGCATAAAGCCTTGTTCTATCATTTTCCAGCTGTTAATTTTATGGAGATTAGACTTTATCAGTTACTATTTTCTTAGAGGCTAAAACACTACCAGCATATGCATAAAAATTCAACATAACAAAACATATGCAAAGTATATAGACAAATAGATGCGGAGAAGGTAATTAAAACTCTAGAAATAGACCTGTATTTATATGGCTTACAACAAAAGTTCTACTGAAATTTGAAGGAGAAATAATATCTCTTTAAGGCTAATGCCAATGGCTTGTCACTGCTCTGCCTATAAGGCAGCCACTTCTATTCCTTCACTTTTTTTAAAGGATATTTCTTTCAGTAAATAGAGCATTCAAAGATTTTTTTATAGATGAAATTTTATTTGCTTGCAAAGCTACACAAAAATATAATTGGAGACAGGTTATTGGCCTTAATAAAAACATAAATCATAATAATTCTAGGATTTAAACATTTGAAATATCTTCATGGCCTTCCTTGAAGTAGGCTCTCTCTCTCTCTCTCTGTGTATGTGTGTATATGTATATATATGTATATATACACACACATACATATACACTATATATATACACATATACATATACACTATATATATACACTATATATATACTCTCTATGTATAATATATATATTATCTCTATATATAGAGTATATTATATATATACTCTCTCTATATATAGAGTATATTATATATATACTCTCTATATATATAGAGTATATTATATACTCTATATATACTCTGTATATACATAATATATAATTACATACATTATGTATACACTCTATATACATAATATATATAATTATATATATTATATATACACTCTATATATACTCTCTATATATTATATATACTCTCTATATAGAGTATATTATATATAGTATATTTTAGTATAGTATATAATATATGAGTATATTATATATAATATATAATAGAGTATATTTTATAATATATAATAGAGTTTATTATATAATATACAATAGAGTATATTATATAATATACAATAGAGTATATTATATAAT